>NC_000013.11:92616615-92919645 GCF_000001405.40 Homo sapiens
ATCTGGATACATCCAATTGCTGATAATATTGGACATATTTATACAAAGGATTACAATATTTTATTGCTCAAATGTCCAACTTTAAAGATGGGCATTTTATGAGAAACATGATGTAAAAGGAAAATGCTGTAACATAGGATTATCTCTTGTGAAACTTCATGTATGAAATAATAGAGCTTCAAAATGCGTAAAGCAAGAACTGCATTAACTGTAGAAACAACAAATGGGCAAAGATAGACCCAAATGATGCTAAAGATTTTCTTAAACCCTCTCTAAGGCCGTGAAAGATAAAATACACAAAATATTCATAAAAATAAGGAAAAAATAAAAAATATTGAATATAATACATACATATAAACATATACACTGATGTTTCATTATATTAAAAAGCGACCATTACTTCAAATGTTGTGGGATATTTAAATAAATCAGACAATAAATTTGAAAATAGAAAAAGAACACATGTAATGCTGTTGCGCTTAGAAAATGATACCCAATGCATGGTCATTTGGCTTGCTGAGTACTTTGCCCTGAAGGACTTTGGAACATCTCTGAAGCAGCCTTAGAACCAAGTTACTCCTTCCTCAAAGATTCTATCAGAGGTTGTCCGCTGTAACGTCTTCTACCTGATCCCCTCACAACAAGTATTGCCACCTAGAAATCATGCTCTGTGTAGAAGCTAGTGGTATCATAATAAACAGCAATCAACAATCCAGCATTCAGTTCCTTTAGCTCTTCTTTCCATTCTGAATCTCCTTTTATTCATCAAAACACCCACATTTTACTATAGATTTCTGCTCTACTAGCTATCAATCAGTTTAATCTTTCTCCCTTCTGCTATTTTCCAGGGTTTTAATTCCTTACATTTGCTTACTTCTTTTTTCACCAGGAAGCTCCTAGTTCCATCTGTAACTAAATTTCTTACCTGAGTCTCTTAACTGCCACTCTATTCCCTACCTTGTGTAATTCTCACAAAAGATTCATTTCACTTGATATGTATTTATGATTTTTTTCTCTTTGTAGGTGTCAGACATATGTTATTCACTATTGCATTAATATTAATGATAATGCAAAAATTTTACTGTTATTTCAGGGAAATTTTATAAATTGCAATGACTGGTAGTAACATAACAATGAATATAATTACTACACTTTTCAAGAGTTTACAAAATTTATACTCATACTATAGGTGTTACATACTTACAGGATTTTATTCTTTTTTCTTCTTTTTTTATTATACTTTAAGTTTCAAGGTACATGTGCACAACGTGCAGGTTTGTTACATATGTATACATGTGCCATGTTGGTGTGCTGCACCCGTTAAGACACCACCCTCATTTTTGGCAATAGCTAAAAGATAGCTAAAAGGAAGTAACACCTAATGCTTCAGTTATGTGCAGCTCTTAAGTACTCTTTCTATGGTAATTGCCATATGAAATTAATAAAAACTTGTCATGCAAATGGTGCACCAGTGAAACTAAGAACAGTAGCTAGACTTTGCATCCTTTTCTTCCCCAGTTGATTTTTACTAAGTAACCTATAAAAAATAAGGGAAATTTTCTTGGATATCTTAAGTACATAGTTATTTGCACAGATGACTCTGTAAGATTTTATTGACATATGTCTTTCAGGCCAAACTAACGTAGTATTATTTTCCTACAATTGGTTGTCATAAATAATCTGATCACTGACAATATGACATATTATTACAAGGAAAACTAGAAAAAAGTAGTATTTAGGTTAATTTGACTTCTGCTCCCCAAATGCTTAACTTCAGTCACTCTTTATGATCTGAGATACTACAGAAGATTACAAAGTATATAGTTAACTCCTCCTAATACTAATGATGGGCAAAAGGTAAGTAGATACACCTGTGATTAAAAACACAGTAAGATACACCATGGGTAAGGAGATATACCAGTGATTAAAGGACATTTTAATTCTTTCTTCACTTTTATTCTAAAGATTTTCATAAGAAATGTTTGCTGATTTCAACTCACATATTAATAGACATGTTGCTGACAAGTTGAATAACTTCAAATTAGGTTGTAAGAAAATGTTTAAAAAATGTTAAAAAAAAAAAAAAAAAGCACTGTGACTAAATGAAGTTTAATATTCATGCCCTAATGATTAGATTGACCACTAACATGACATAGACATAGAGTGTCATGTGAAATAAAGATGGATCATATTAGGCAATGTGTATGTCCCTATAAAGTATTAATCTCTTATCACATTAATAAGAGTCTCACTATCTATTATGGTATTAAGACATTGAAGTAAAACAATTGAAGAATTTATTAAGTTAACTTTCTATATTGACTCACATGTTCAGTAACCAAAAATAAATTTAGTCACATCTATATTAAAAAGTAGTTTGCTAAATCACAACTGTCACTTTATAATAGCAAATGCAAAAGTAATTGCAGAATAATGAGCGTTAATTTTCTCAAAGCTAAATTACTCACTTTGTGTTTAAAATAATAAAGAAAATACTTAAGGGGCTTCTTTTCAAACAATTGTGTTTTACCATATCAATAAACACATTATCATTTATGCATGGAGATAATTTTCTGAGAAATAAGAGTCAAGATTAGTTCTAACAAATTAATAATCACTAATGTGTTTATTTTTAAAATGGCATATTTAATTTTTATGTCACATTGCATTTCTTCATAGCCTTGATAACTTCATTTTTATTATGAAAGGCTTCATATTGCATGCACTGAAATGCATTTATTATTTAAAATAGAAGAGCAAATTTTAAAGTAACATTTGTTGTATAAGCAATTTTATGAAGTAACTCGCCAATTATTCTTAGGTTAACACACTCTTTGCAAAGATCGCATATACGTCTTTAAAATCAACTAATTTAATCAAATCCATTTAAATTCAAGTAACATGCATTTTCTAAACACTGAAGAGTACAAAGATGATAAGATTTTTCTCTTAAATAATTTCAGTTTGATAGTACAGATTAACCATATTTATAAAATTCTAAAATGAAAGATAAAATAATTGCTATTAATGATAAAAAATGATTGTGAAACATCCAGATGAGATGTAGGAGAGATTCTAGACAAATAGCTGATTGATCTTTCATTTGAAGTATGACCAGGGTTGGTTGGTAGTCAGGAAAGTATATTTAAAACAAAGAAAAACAACAAGAATTTTTTTTATTTCTAGGAAAAGCAAAAGTTATACCAAAGTGAAAAGGAAATAATATACTAACTGAAACAAACAATATTTGCTAGTTAAGATTATGCTAAAACTGATTTATTGAATCACTTGAATACTGTTTAACCATATCACTAATCTACAATCAGAGGACAGTATATAATGCTAAAATAAATAAGTCAAGATGTCACAACAATCACTTTTCTTTAGAAAGACGGTTATAAAGATCAGAAAAATAGCTATCAGAGTTAGTATTATTATCCTCGGGAGCATAATGGTTTAGAGGATGAACAATGATCACTTTTTATTATTAATCTTCCATACCACTTAATCTTTTTAATTTTTTAAATGCATGTATACTTTTATTAAAATTTTACATAACAGAGAATAATTGAAGAAATAAGTGGCGGAAAGAAAAAGATTACACAACTAGAAACTCAAGAAAAAACTTTCAGAAAAATATCTAATACAAAGAAAAGAATAAAGAAAATTAAAGAGGCAAAAAACAAAATATTTAGAGGATCAATCCAGGTTGTTCATCATTTGATAAGGGGAGTTCCACAATTATCAAATAAGTAATGCAGCTGGCCTAAAAAGAAGCATCTTAGGTAACACACATCAGAGTTCTCCAGGAAGGAGACCTTCAGAAATTCCACCAGGTTTTTTGTTTCTCGTTTTACATTTTGTAATATAAAGTCACTGATGATGCTCATATAGAAGTAATTCCTAAAGTGACTTAAAGATTAAAATATTAAAACAATTAAAATAATTTCATAAGATAAAACTAGAAATACTACCAAAAGCTACTATTTCAAGTATTTGACAAAGCAAAGCAGCTGAAACTGATGGCTAAATGAATTACCAGTGTCAGTAGTTGGGAAGATTTTTAGAGTGTGGGAAACTTAACCGTGAGTGTAGGCAGAGTGTGGGAAGTCAGGGAAGGGAGAATACAAATTTACAATATATTAGTGTAAATGTTACACTTTATTGAAGGAATGGGACTCATTATAGAGGAAATTACAAGAAGGCTTTCTCTTCCCATATCACTATCTTTAAACAGGTCTGTGGACTTACTTTATCCCAATTCAAGAAGAAATCTCAGGTAAATAGTATAGCTGTCTTTGTTGTGCTCAGGCATGAATTTATAGTGTTATTTTGAAAGACTAAATATTCCAATCCAGTCTTGTAAATCAAAACACAGTCAATGTAAAATTCTCATTTCACCATTTTGTCTTTATTGAGTCTGGGAAACCTACAGTGGGAAGCTGGGGTGAGGTCAACATCTCTTTCTCTTGCCTCTTCTTAAGTCACACTCACTGGCTACTGCTTGGGCCCAGGGAGTGAAGTTGTAAGAATGAGAAAAGATAACGTTTTATGTAAGCAGAGTTGTCATCAGACAATGTTATCCTCTGGCTGAGGCAACTGTCCAAAACCAACTCTGCCATTGGCCATGTGAGGTCCTGGGAAACCCACCCCTGATGGTACCCACCACAGCCTCCACTCCCATCCTCAGCCCCCATATCTGGCAAGATGCTTATGAATTGGCCTCAAGCCTTAGCTGCCAGAGGTCGTGCCTCTGTTACAGTTATCTCCAGTCATCTCCTTGGGTAAAATTCCTTTTAGTAAAGATAAATTCAACCATATTTTTTCTGCGAGGCCAACATCTAGCCCACAGAAAACGTGACTGAACTTTTGCCCAGACTTCTGGAGATACTGAAGCATTTCACTCCTAAGGAAATATTTCTTGGCCAAGCACAGTAGCTCACACCTGTAATCCCAGCACTTTGGGAGGACAAAGTGGGGGATCACCTGTGGTCAAGAGCTCAAGACCAGCCTGGCCAACATGGTGGAACCCCTGTCTCTACTAAAATTCCCAAATTAGTTGGGTGTGGTGGCGGGCGCTTGTAATCCCAGCTACATGGGGGCTGAGGCATGGGAATTGCTTGAACCCAGGATGCCGAGGTTGCAGTGAACTGAGATCGCACCATTACACTCCGGCCTGGGCAACAGAGAAAGACCCTGTCACTAAATAAATAAATAAATATTTCTGCACTCTCCAGCTCAAGCCAGTCTCTGGCCTTTAAGCTTTGAAAGCATGAATCAGGTCCAAGTCCCTACATATTACTCAACTACAACAACAAAAACAACAATAATAATAATAATAATAGAACATACACCAAGCTCTCTGTGTATCTTCCTGAAAGCTCCCCTCGACTAATGCTTTCAGTACCTTCTCATTCCCCCTCCATGTCCATTCTCTATCTGGTTCCAACCCTTCCTGTTTGCCCGTGGGATGGTTTGCCACAGCTTCCAGCCCTCTGGCTCTGGTTCTGTCTAGCACCATCAGCAGAAGAAAGTATGGAGGAAATAGTAGCTGAGGCATTGGTTATTCTGACCCTGTCCCTGCCAGGCTCTGGGTTAGCAGTGGCGCTGTTCCTGTCCTGAAGACCCAGCTCCTCCTGGAGGTCTGTCCTCAGCTACATCGCCACAGGTCTGGGTTCTGAAACCTCCATTTCTGTTTCCCTCTTTAGGTTCAGGGATGGTTATAGTTGCTCTGTTGCTCACACCAGATGCTGCACGCTCCATTTTTGTTTTCCCTCAACCTTTCTACAACTTTATAAATAGTTCCCCTATTAAAATGTTGTTATTAAAACTCTGAGTGTGTTATCTGTTCCCTACTAGGACCTCGAATGTTGTGCCTGGATTAACACGAGATGAGGCACCCTACTCTCCTATGCTACTCTCTAACATTTTGTACTATTCCATTGATTGATTTTTTTTTTTTCTTTGAGACAGGTTCTCACTCTGTCACTCAGGCTGGAGTGCTGTGGTGCAGTCTCAGCTCCACTGTAGTCTTGAACTCTTGGGCTCAGGCAGTCCTCCTTCCTTAGTCTTCTGAGTAGCTGGGATTACTGGCATGAGCCACCATGCCTGGCCCTTACTAATCCACGATAATATGCCAACTACTCTTTTTAAAAAATCATCATCAGTGTCTTATCAAATTTAATGAGAAATTATACTCTTATCTAACCTGAAAGTAGACGATGGGCCAATGCTGGAAGAGCCAGTTTTATAACTCTAAAAACACTTGGCAGAAGTGAGTTAGCACCTCAGCGAGAATGTGGCAAAAAAGAGAAAATAATGAGGTCTGAGGGAAGAAGAAAGGAATGAAATGTTCAGGCAGGAAAATGAGGAGAAATATTTTTTCCTCTGAGATAACAGAAAAGTAAAAAGTTATATTTTTTTTACTTTGGTCCCAGCTACTAGGGAGGCTGTGGTGGGAGGATGGCTTGAGCCTGGGAGGCGGGGGTTGCAGTGAGCTGAGATTGCACCAATGCACTCCAGCCTGGGTGACAGAGTGAGATTCTATCTCAAAAAAAAAAAAGAAAAGTGAAAAGTTATATGAACAGGGACAGAAAAAATGTTTAGGTAAAGAGCAAGACTGCAGAAAGACTCAATGTTGTCAGTAAAAGAGTGAAGTGGTTGCACGGCTCATCTGCTCCATGTGAGAAGGGATTGCAATGAAGACTTGGGAGAGTTAAATATTTTTGGAACATAGGCTGCTATAGTCAACTAGAGGTGAAGGAAGAAATTGCTGAACAGCTGTGAGGGCTGTAGAAGTCTCTCGCCCTACAGTATCACCACTTCCAAACACCTGCACATGCTTCACAGCCTTCTCTCATACACTGCATTTTAAAATCAAAAGTGATTTTTAGATAACAAGTAATTCTTACATTATTAAAATGAGAGAAAAAAGCTAGTTTATTATTAACAATTCTTGAATCAAAGTTTCCTTTGTCTGCAAGTTACGTTAGTGGATTGTTACGGCAAATCTTGAAGTTGTTTTTCTTTAGTAAGGATCAAGCTATATTTTCAGATGTGAGATAAAACTGTTGCTGAAATGAACATTATAAGAAATGTTGCATAACTAAACATCTAAAAATAGTTTTCAAATTAAAAAAAAAACCAGTGAAATAGTTGCTTCTGAGCATAGTAAATTTTTCAGGAATGCAATTATTCTTAGTCATTTCCCTTAGAAAGTCTACTGATAGTGTCTATTTATTTATTTATTTATTTATTTTGAGACAGAGTTTTGCTCTTGCCCAGGCCGGAGTGCAGTGGCGCGATCTCGACTCACTGCAACCTCTGCCTCCCGGGTTCAAGCGATTCTCCTGTCTTAGCCTCCCAAGTAGCTGGCATTACAGGTGCCTACCACCATGCTCGGCTAATTTTTTTTTTTTCTATTTTTAGTAGAGACGGCGTTTCCCCACGTTGGCCAGGCTGGTAATTTTTTTTTTTTTAGATGAAGTCTTGCTCTGTTGCCCAGGGTGGAGTGCAGTGGCTCAATCTTGGCTCACTGCAACCTCCGCATGTTCAAGCGATCCTCCTGCCTTGGCCCCCCTAGTAGCTGAGATAACAGGCACGTGCCACCATGCCCTGCTAATTTTTGTATTTTTATTAGAGACGGGGTTTTGCCCTGTTGGCCAGGCTGGTCTCAAACTCCTGATCTCAGATGATCCAGCTGCCTCGGCCTCCCAAAATGCTGGTATTACAGGCATGAGCCACTGCGCCCAGCCTGTTCAAATTTAAATCTAGTGAAAAATGTCCTTGAATCTAGGCAAACCCTTTAATGGAAACTTTTCCAAACGTTTACTTCTGCCATGTCCATTCACACATTTTTCAGTATGATGCATATATAAAACTGTGAATATTCTGAGATTTTACCCTTCTTGCAAGTTATCCAACCACAGATTTATGAATGATGGCAGAAGATGAGACAGTTCTCTCACAACAATAACAGGAGACAGAATACCAGCATGTTTTGCATTGGTTCTCTAAGCCCCACTTTACCCAATTCAGTATGAAGATGGTCAGATGGCACATGCTGACACAATGAGTTTGATTACAGGAAAGAAACTCTAAGCTTAGGGAACCCACAGCTTTTATAACAGGAGGTACACCTGCTTCTTCTCTGCGGGGAGACATAACACAATCTCTAAGGCTCTAAGCCAACTTGGTCTTTGTTCTGGAGAAATACACTTGGCTTTCCAGGGCTTACTATGCAAATATCCTTCACGAGGTAGTCTAAAGGGCAGTCAGTGTCCCTACTTGTAAGATGTGCAGAATTGCAAGGAACACATGAATACAATAGCATGTACTTATATTTAACATAAATTTAGATTCACAATCCCCAGGATTTAAATCCCTGAATTTCTATCTAATCCAGAGCTTGCTTTTTATTATTGCTGTATTATATCCAGAAAAAATTAACCTTCTGATAGGAAGCTTCTATTTCTGAGATTCTGTGTCAGTGTGATTTTGACAATATAATGTTGTCCACTGCGAATTTACATTAATTTGGGTATATAATCTGTGGTATTATTTTGAATACAAGTTTACTAATACAAGGTATTTAAAATGTTCATTGATAGGAATTCACATATTAAATTAGTTTCTTTGATTTTCATAACTCAGATTCTATAGTTATATGTCCAGAAAAAGTATGCATAATACTGTAAAATTTACATCAATTGGGATATATGACTATTTTGGTCATTTAAAAAATGTTGCAGAGGACCACCAGGAAATTGTTACTGACTATATAACATCTGAGTTGAAAACTGATTAATGATGAAATACTTTTAGGAAATAGCTATATTAATAAGTTGCACATTTTAATGTATAGCGTGAACTCAAGAAAGATGATACAGGTCAAAGATAGAAACTTTGGGCTATCAATGTGGAGTTCAGTGGAAAAGAACAAGTAAATTTGTCCTGGTGCAATTTGCTGCTGAGCCTTCTGCCAGCTTCCCCCTACTCAACTAACGAAGACCTTTTAGGACTTGGGAGGATATTCTTAGTGAACATAATTCAGCTGCTCCCAGCTTTAAGAAGAAAAACTCTACTTCCTTCAGCAGTCTGTTCCTTGAAGTAATTGCTACTTGCCTTTTTTCATCCTAGGAGTGGTTAAAACCCAAAAGTCAAAATTAAGTGTAGGCATAGGACACATTATCTAAGCTTTTGGTCCAAGGGACAGAGGCATCCTTGAGACTCAAAGGTGATGTCACCAAGTATGCCAGAGTGAGGTGGTCACATGGGTCAAAGCCTTAATTAAAACTGTCTCCTTGTTCATTGTGTCCTCACTATGTAACTTTTTCAGGAGCCTGTGACAGCCATAGGAACCAGATCAAAGATTCCCAAGACCTGCTAATACTTTTCCATCTCATTGCAATGAAAATGTCTCCTGCTTTAATCATAACCATACCAGTTCAATCAATTGAAGTAAATCATTTATTTTGAATTGTATTTTACAATTATATAATAACTTTTTCTATACTTACAATACTCAGATTATATAGTAATACTTCTGATGAAGCTAAAAATAATTTAAAGAGAACAAATGCAGAACTATAATCTCCTGGGAGGAAAATATTATTAATTTCATTGAAAATATTAGGTTTGAAGGGGGATTCTCATTCCTCAGGAACCCAAACAGAGCAGTCAAGGAAGGATATGGATCTCATGTTCCAAGAGACTCATGCGGTGGGGAGGCTCTTGACTTGGCAGCATGGAATTTTAAGGGGATAGAGACGAACACAGTCTAGAGGTGAGAGGGCAAGAGGGCACTCATGTGCTATGAGGGAGTTTTAAATGTGGAGGGAATATGAGCATTGGCATGTGTGGTGAACGTTGGGGATAGAAAGAGATGTCTAAAGAGGATTGTAAGCAGGTGCACTGGGTGCTGTCTTATGGAGGCCTCATTGCTGCTTTCTCAAGAGATCTTTCGTAAAGAACTGTCTACATTTTGAGTCTCTTTTTAGAGCCTCATGTACTTTTGCAAGGGATGCTAATTTAATGCTGGGTTGGATTAAAGGTGGCCCAGCTTAGACAAGAACTTAGAAGTTCTGTCATGTAATTATACTAATATACATGTGTAATTATAATAATCAGGTATGGAAAGAAGATAGGAGTAAAACTCTCCTATAATATTTGACAATTATTTCAACAAATATAATGCTAATGGGTGGTTGAAAGCTTAGACTTACTGGTAGCTTTATAGAATTTTCAGTATATAATGAAATACACATACATAAATGGTTTGTACATTTTTGCTTTTCATTATTTCATATTTTGCCTTCTATAACATCAAATAATAACATATTATGTTTTCCTCTTACAGAAGTAAAAAATTATTGTCATTGATTGAATGAAGCTAAGAATCCCAATCATAATAAATATTATTTAAAAATTCTAACTTCTTAAAACATCTTCCTCTCAATCTCAGTTGGGCCTTAGTTTTCCTTCTTACTAAGTCACAAGGAATGTGGGTAAAATTTAGAAACTAAATATTTTCATGCCATAGAGCCAAACCTGTAGTCCTTTTAGAAGAATTATCTTGTCAGACTATTTTCCTTCTAACAGATTGGTTCCAGAAAGCAGGTTTCACCTTTAGCAATTTGAGGGGCAAGAAATACTTCATTTTCCCAATGAAGAGAGCATGGCATTATTTATCATTTCTGCAATGGCATAATTACTCAGCGTGGCAGCTATAGTTTATAGAACCATACTACAGCTTGGATTTGTTTATTGGTTGCACTTTACACAGCTTTTCATCATCAAGTTTCATCCCTTAGCCACCGTGCTTTTGGGGTAATCAGTGGTCAGGTAAAATCACATACATGCAGAGTTGCTTTATTATAATGTATTAAAGGACTTCTGAACTTCTAAAATATGCACTAATATCTACTGTTGCTGTACTACAACATATTTACTGTAATTCATAAAATGAAATATGGCATTTCTACAGGCATTAGCAATAAAACCTCCATGAGCAGTCCATGATGAGACATATTTATTGATTTGGAATTATACGAAAGGTTTCTTTTTTGTTTACAGCCTCAACAAATTATACTAAATCCAAGGAGCAGTTGCTAAGTAATAATTAGGAGTGATGTACCACAATTTGGCTTTATTATACATGCTATTCTGAAATGAACATACAAATATATGTTCTCCTATCTTTCTATCTTAATCAGTATATATTTCCCCTCCTACAGCCTGTCCAAAGTGTCTAGGTTTCCTGAAACAGACACCAACGAATGAATTGTAGCCAATGGCATATATTTTCTTCCTGGACAGTATATTTTTCTTTTTACTGCTCTCTAATATGACATTGGTGTGGTAGACTGAAATACCTAGACTGAAGGTGTTGAATACTTTTCTCATTTGAGTGTATTTTAAACCATAAGCAGTATCTTCCTGGCGTCAGCCTAAAATTCATTCCACACACCCAACACTAAAAGTAAGTGCTAAGTAAAGGAGATCCAGCCACAGGAATTAGAAAAGAGAGGGACAGAGGCTGCAGCCAAACTTCCTTCACCACCTAATAGTCAAAAAGAAACTATATATCAGGTCTTTTTAAATCTATTCTTGAGAATCAATCCTATTTTCTTTTCTTTTTCTTTTTCTTTCTTTTTTTTTTTTTTTTTTTTTTTTTTTTTGAGATGTAGTCTCGCTCTGTCACCCAGGCTGGAGTGCAGTGGGGCAGTCTTGGCTCACTGCAACCTCCGCCTCCCGGGCTCATGCCACTCTCCTGCCTCAGCCTGAATTAATCCTATTTCAAATTTCATACTTTCTTTTCCCCAGGCTAGAGCCATTAGCTGGGCTGCTTTGGGGGTCAGCAGTGTTGAGGATTCTGACTCTGAGACATTCCCGTGTCCATGCTCAGCCCTAGCTCTCAGGTATCCAAAACAGGGAGAAGGGACAAAGGAGAAAGCAAAATCTTCATGTGCTCCTTTGGTGGCAACGTGTCCCCAGCATCACTGTGACTAAACTGGTACGATTTAAAATGGTGGGCATGGATTTCATCCCCCTTCATCTCTGAAGACACTTTAGATGGGAAGCTGAAACACCCATCTGCCTTCTCCAAGTGTTCAAACCCCTGACTCCTTCTCCGAGTTGAGACTCTCATTGGCCTGGCTGACATTGGACTATACCCATAGATTTGTCATTTTTCTAATTTTCCTGCTCCTCTCATGGAACTAGAAGAAGTTCTGAGGATGTCTCTATATCACCAGAGGGCTTCAAAGAAATAAGAAGTGGTGGGAAGCATTTCCCATCTTCTTTTCAGTCACGTTACACCAATTTTCTTTCTAGCTCTCTTGTTGTGCACTGTTCTCCTGATCTTCCTCCCATTATAAACCAAAGGTAGGATGTCTCCTTGGTCACACATACACCTACGCCTATCTTGTAACTTTGGAGAATGGCTTTTGCTTCCACAGTGGCCCTAGAATAAGTCTATTGGAACAACGAGAAAGATCCAAGGAATGAGATGCCAGGAGTTTCTTCTGAAAGTACCCTGAATTTCTACCAGGATTCTTTTGGAGCTTACCTCACTTAGTTTTAGAAATGGTAACTCAAATCCTTTCCAGTTAAACAAAGGCAACCTATAGTAGCAATAGATGTGTCATTCCCATAACAGCCTAGTCCTATTATTAACTTGACTGGAGGAAGACAAGGGTGTTGAAGATATTAAGGCAGTTTGCCTCCTCTTTGTGACACATAGATGAAGGTATCAGGTCTTAACTGCTGGTGACTACTTGTCATCTCTGTCTGTATTGTGGGGGGATTATTTCATTTGTTCCTAGCTGTTGCCGCGGTTCCTTATTTGTGTATCTAGCATTTACCTGTACATTATAAGAAATGGTGATTTAACTTGTACTGTCATAAATAAGCCCAGGAAAGCAAAAAAGTAAGATAGTAGATAAACAATGCATAGAAACATTTTCGAATATATAATCATGAGTTTCACAAAGATAATGCAAATAATAAATATTAAAGTACAGAGTATCTTAAGTCATAAAGTGTGAGCACCTGAAGAAGAGTCAGCAATGATTCCGTTCTTCTTTCCCAACTTAAGCTGTTTCTGAGCCATTAGATAAATGACTCCTGTGACAGATGTTTGGGGAAACAAATGTAGAACTAGAAAATACACAAGTCATGAGTACAAAAAAAAATCAATAGGACTTCATTCTTGACAAATATTGACAATATAATGCAGAGGTTAGCGATTTTTCTGTAATTCTGTTGATTCTGATTATCTTCAAATACTTGATGACAGGTCCTAAAGGAAGCCTTGAGGAAAAACAACGATAAAAGAGTGCATTTGATAGCAACAGGAGCAGGAGATGTTGACTATTCTAGTGGAGAACCTTCAGGAGATATTCCATTTTTATTTGATATTTGAAGAAAGGAAGACCAAAAGGGCAGGAATTTATACACTTAAAGTAGAAAACAGAATGTATTTGACTCCTATAGAATGAGAAAGATTGATTTGATAAAATATGACAGTCAGTACTACTATCACACCCAACATTTAATGAGCAATTATTATAGGCAATGGACTGTTCTACGTAATCGTGAATGTATGAATGTATTTAACCTGAAAGCACAGGGAAGTAACAGATGTGGTAATAATACCAAGGCAGAAAATGGAACAGAAAGAATTGGCAATATAATAAAATATTAAAATAATATATAATTGCAAGTTTGTTTCCTATCTTTAAAAGATAATGTACACCTACATGAGAAAAGCAAAATGCAAACTATTCTTATTAGCACATTATTATTTTTTACTCATTTACTTTTCAGCTGAATTGAAATGGATTGTTGGGCAAAACCTTTTTAATAGTAACTATTTGAAAATTAAGAAAATACTTTCTGACATAATAAATGAAAACTCTATAAAAGATAATCAAATGTCTTGTAATCAAAGCAGAGACATTAGAACATTTAATGTAGATGACGGGTTGATGGGTGCAGCAAACCACCATGGCACGTGTATACCTATGTAACAAACCTGCATGTTCTGCACATGTATCCTAGAACTGAAAGTATAATAAAAAATTTTTTTAAACCTGATTCCATTATTAGGAATAATTTGAATAGTTCAGTCACAATCCATATGCTGGCCTCTGGTGTCTCAACTTGTCCTAGCAAAACTGTTGTTAATGCAGTATTATGTCAGTCCTTATATACTTATCCATCTCCAATCTGGAAAGACAATGCTTATATGTTTCCTTTTTAGTCCCCTAATTTCTCTTTATGACACAAATCTAGTTGGCAATATTAAAGATGAGGCTGATTCTCCTTTACTTATCTGGAATATGCTACCATTCCAGATAAGTAATAGTAAAATTACCATTTCTTCTTGCTAATCGAATGTCATTTTTGAACACAAAAGCCACTGGCTTTGGAGTATAAAACATAAACATAAAATATATCATATACTATCTGTGAGGTTTTCATAAACTCATAAGATCTTTTTATATTTTTATATAAAAATGAAATACTTTACATTAAAATCGTTGAGATAATTAAATGAGAAAATGCTTGTCAATGTTATTAAAATGTAAAATTTTATTTTTCAAAGAAAGAAAATTGTCACTTTTGATTTGTGCTAAAAAATAACAGTAGAAGCCTGCTTTTAAATATTTTAAGTGTGCAATATCATATTACTTCCCATTTACTCTTTGCATTTCTAGACAGCCAAGTTTATTTTTTTTCTCAATTCAGTTTAAAATCAGAGGGAACAAAATTTAAAACATGATATAATATCAAGGTTAACATGCTAGCTATGTAATAAATGTAAAATTTGTCCAGAAATGCATTTGCTTTGAGAAACACAACCATGTGAAATTCCTAAATATTTTGGCCATATGGAAGATGATATCAGAAGAATAATATATTGTTCTCTGTACATCAAAGGAGGGGGATAATAAAAACTGTAGCTATTAGGTTTGTATAAAAACAGTTACAGTGTTTTCCATTGCCAAAAACTGCAACTGCTTTTGCGCCAACCTAATAATAAAAATATGGTTGAGTTTCTGTAGAATTCTGGCAAAGGATGAGCATCCTTAATCTGTAAACTAAAATGGTCCAAAATTCGAAATTTTGGGGGTGTCAATATGATGCCACAAGTGCAAAATTCTCACCTAACCTCATGCGATGTATCACAGCCAAAGCACAGGTGCACAAAACAGTTTATTCAGTGCTTTCAAGAGAAAATTAAAATTAACATGAGGCTACATGTAAATCAATTTTGTTTAGACTTGGGTCTCATTCCAAGATATCTCATTATGTATATGCAAATATTCCAAAATTCAAAATAATCCTCAATCTGAAACATTTCAGGTCCCAAGCATTTTGATTAAGAAATACTCAACCTGTCCCTGTTTGGAAACAGTTCCCTCTAGATAGACTAAACTGGCCTAACAGAGACAAAAGGTAATATCTGTTGCTGGACTTGAGAAAGAATAAATATTTACACACAAAAGTCAGGGCAACAGAAGATGACAAAAGCATTGAAATTAAATAAAATTATGCCCTTTTCTCTATGTAGCTCTTTGGCCAATTTGAATGATGAATACAAAGAGCCAATGACTGAATTCTAATTATATATTTGATGATTAAGCTCAGATAGACTTGAAGACAGAAATTTCATAAGCATCATTTTGGCATTTGATTTTCTAATAGCATCTTCAAAATATTTTTATTCTTCATAACTCCCAGAATTATTTTTTTTGGTAAATCTTCCATACGACTGCAACGTGCAAGTTATTTCTAACATTATCCATAGCTTTTCTATTCTTTTGGAGGAGAAAATATTCCACATATATATATATATATATATATACACATATATATATGCACACACACATATACATACACACACACAAGCTACCTGTATAGTTTATATATTCCAATTCTGCCCTATTAATCTATATATGTATGCACTAAGAAAATATGTAATTACTAGGACTGTAAACTGTATTTATATCAGATAAAATAGATAAACAATTCTATTAGTTTTGTTTTTCAAATATATCTGTGATTAAGCCATTTCCTCACGGCTGATAAAGACATACCTGAGACTGGCCAATTTACAAAAGAAAGAGGTTTAAGTTGGACTCTCAGTTCCACGTGGCTAGGGAGGCCTTACAATCCTGGTGAAAGGCAAGGAGGAGCAAGTCACATTTTGCATGGATGGCAGCAAGCAAAGAGAACTTCTGCAGAGAAACTCCCATTTTTTTGTTTGTTTGTTTTGTTTTGTTTTTTGAGACAGAGTTTTGCTCTGTCATCCAGGCTGGAGCACAATGGCGCTATCTTGGCTCACTGCAATCTCTGTCTCCGGGGTTCAAGCGGTTCTCCTGCCTCAGCCTCCTGAGTAGCTGGGATTACAGGCATGCACCACTATGCCCAGCTTATTTTTGTATTTTTAGTAAAGACGGGGTTTCACCATGTTGGCCAGGCTGGTCATGAACTCCTGACCTCTCAGGTGATCCACCCGCCTCGGCCTCCCAAAGTGCTGGGATTACAGGCGTGAGCCACCACGCCCAGCCAAAACTCCCATTTTTTAAAACCATCAGATCTCCTCATTCACTATCATGAGAACGTGTGGGAATTGTGGGAGTTACAATTCAAGATGGGTTTTGGGTGGAGACACACCCAAACGGTATAAATACATTTCCTGAAATTTGCTCTTTGATAAAAAGTTAAGAATCAGATTATCTGAGTCAAAAAAAAAAGATATAAACTGGCATTTTAGCTTAGCTACTTATAAAAGTATAGATTAATTTAAGAAAAGCTGAGGGTTTTAAAAAATATTTAGTTTTTTGCACAGAAAAAAGGTATATAAAAACCTGCTCACTTGGGTATTAAAGGTATAAGTGTTAAGTATAAATGTTTTATTTTCTAATTGGCTACTCATTTATGTACTTTTATTTATATCTTTCTGTATATTAATTTTTCCCAAAACATTCTGAAAGTTTTTGTTATAATACTTTTCTATTGATTTTCACAATTTTTCAACTTCTTCAATCCAAATTTATCAATTAGTAATGATGTTGCTTTTTTCTTTTTAAAGTTTTTACCTATTATGTTTTCTGCCATATTAATCAGTACTTTAAAAAATTACTAATGGCTTTAATAGGAGACACACACAATTTGTTTCCTTGTTAATGAGAATGCATTGTTTCTCACCATTAAGCGTAATGTTTATCTGTCTTCATATAGCCATATATATGTTTTATATATGTGTGCATGTGTTCTTTTGTGTACATGGGTTGCATATGTATGTGTAGTTATTATGTTAAGACATACCATATTCTTTATTAAACTCATTGAAATTAAGAAATGTTAATATTTTCAAATGCATTTTGGTATCTTTGGAGATAATACTGTGATATTTATTTAGTAATATATGATGAAAAACACTAACAAAATTATCCTCACATTGTTGCCATGAATCTCTCTTGGTTACGGACTATCTTTTAATGGAATGCTCAATTCAATTTGCTAATATTTTATTTGGTGCTTTTTGGCATAAATTTTCAGGTTTTTAATTGGAATTTAATTACAATGTCATGCTGACTTCATAAACATAATTCCAAGATTACCTTTCTCTGCAAATGTTCTGAAACATTTTAATTATCAAGGGAATTATCTGTTCCTGAAGTTTGGATAGGTATTACTCAAAATACTGGTGAACTCTGGTATCTATTCTGGAATAGGGGAAGTGATGAGAATAAAAAGGTGAGGCCTTTTGTATCTTGGTGATATTCTTTTTATTTATTTTGTCTTTATTCAGTAATCTGCTTTGATATCCTGAATCAGTATTTCCTTAGGTGGAGAGAGTTTTCTTATATTGAGTATTCGATTCTTTCTCCAATTTTACTTTTATAACTATGCTTACCATTCTGTACTTAGATCTCCAAAACTTATTCATCCTGCCTAACCGAAATTTTGTACACTTTGAAAACTATCTTTTCATTTATTCTTAGCTCCTCATTTATTCTTTTTCTATTTTCTAGAAACACTGATTTTGTGTACCTGGGGTATACATTTTTATTCCCCCATATATATCCTTTTCTTTCTTATCTCTCATTGCCTCTTTGCCCCTTTCCCTTGGATCCTAAGGAAGAGTCCTACATTTTCATTGACATCACTTATTATTCTATAGCTTTAATTCTTTTCTCCGTTGGTTCTAATGCAGCCTGT
The DNA here is from genome assembly GCF_000001405.40 of Homo sapiens. Classification (NCBI taxonomy): domain Eukaryota; kingdom Metazoa; phylum Chordata; class Mammalia; order Primates; family Hominidae; genus Homo; species Homo sapiens. The sequence continues at coordinate 92,634,850 of NC_000013.11, forward strand.
AGCATTCCTTTAATATTTTAAGTTTCCTTATAATGCTTTCTTAATTCAGCTCTTTTTCTTGCCCTGTAATCAGTCAGAAAAAGACATTTGCTGTATTTTATATTTTCTATTATTTTTTCCATTTTAAAATATTTTACTGTTAACATATTATAAAATATTTTACTCTTAAATATTTTAAAATATTTTGACACAGTAAAATATTTTACCTGAAATATACATTTATAGTTCTTATAATTATTTTATTCACAGATAAACCTTTTATCTGATGTTTTCTGTTTTCTTATTACATTGTTAAACATTTCTGAAATTAACATGTACTATGTATATATGTGTATATACTTATCTTTAAATGAGGTAGGATATACACGTTCTTTTGATATTTCGTAAACAGAGTATATAAGTTTATCTTGGTTCCCTCTCTATCCATCTGTCTCAGCCCATGTTATGCTGCTATAACAGAATACCACAGACTGGGTAATTTATTTAAAAAACAGAAATTTATTGGCTCATATTTCTGGAAATTCAGAAGACTAAGAGCATGGCACCAGCATGTAGACAGGGATTTCTTCTTTCTTCATCTTATGGCAGGAAGTGGAAGGTAGAAGTTGAAAGGGCAAGAGAGTGTGTTCACAAGACAGAAGGGAAGGCAGCTAAACTGATTATTTTATCAGGAACCGGCTCCCAAGACAATGGCATTAATCTGTACATAAGGCCAGAGCCCTCATGCCTTAATTCTCTCCTAAAGGTCCCACTTCTCACCACTGTAGCATTCGGGACTAAGTTTCTAACACATGAACTTTGGGAGAAAAATTCACACTATAACCCTGTCTGATTATTGGTAGAGTTCTCAACAGATCTCGGGCAGAAGGCTTTTGAATACATCCAGCCCTTTATCAATTGTAGATAATTAGAAGTGATACACATCTTTACCAGGCTTAACGCCTTCCTTCTGCCAAGCTTACATTCCTAAACATAAAGCACATCCTCAGTCACTTGAATTTTTCACCTGCATTGAATTTCTTGGAATTCTAGGCCTCAAATCAATGCAGAATAAAAGGAGATAATGGTAAATTTGAAGAAATAAAATGATCATGACCATTTTTAAGTCAGGTCTTTCACAATGGCCATGGCCAATAATGGCGAAGACAAATGGAGATGAATTATAAATAGAGTGAATAAATTAAAATGTCACCTACTCTTCTTTCTCCAGAAGGCTTCACTGTTCTATGTGGGCCTCACATCTGCCTTTTTATTAATTAACCTTTCTACTGAAGTTTGGATGATCTCCAATCAGTATTCTTAGTTTGTGGTATTGTAGAAATATATTTTTGTGTTTTAATGAGTCAACTAAGCATTTGTAAGAAATCAAGTTATAAAAATATATTAAGCATTCATTTTTTGACCAAACATTTATTGCATAAAATAAGTAGATATAGTGAAAATTCTCCTTGATGGTGAAGAGGTATCACCGTAAAAAATCATTATCATCTTGCAATACATCAGTAAACAAAGAGTTTTTGATATATATAGGACTTATTTTGCTGAGCGTAGCTATGCTCTCTGTATTTTGTTTCTTGGCCCTTCTTGTCAAGTTGTCAGCAATCACTTCACACTACTGAAAATATAACTGCCTTTAGCAGTTCCCTCCTTGCTTCTTACCTTATACTTTGAAGCAGAAGCAGAAAATTACTTTGGCTGAGAGTCAGAGCTAACCTGAATGTTGTATTAAGTGCAGGTCATAAGTCTCTGAAAATGTACTGGGGGCTTTATTTATTCCTAACTTTTATACTTACAACCATTGTCCGTAATTTTATATATTGCTTCATATCTCCTGTATTCCACACGAATGGAAGGTACTGCATCTTATTTATCCTTCACTTCCAAGTTCCTACCAAAGTGCCTGACATATGGTAGGTACTTAGTGAAAATTGAATGAAACCAAATTACTGATTATATATTCTCCCTTGGATATCTCACGTGCATCTAAAACTTAGTACGTGGAAAACTGAACTCATTATCCTTCTTCCATGCTCAACATTGTCTTTTCCTTCCTATGTTTCCTATTTTGATGAATAGCCCGTATTCTCAACCAGTCACCTGGGCCAAGAGCTTTGGAGCCAACCTGACTTTCTATTTTCCCCTCACAACTAATTGATAACCAACTCTTGTCTATTCTCCCCACCCAAAAAGAGCAGTTTAATCCATGACCACCTCCCCACTCTCACTGTACTGCCTTGGTTACGACCCCCAAAATTCTTAGTCTGGAATGTAGTATCTCCTAATAGTCCTATCCATTCCAATTCACTTTCCAGATTCCTGACAAAAATGATTTTTCTGAAGAGAAATCTGATCATTAAATTTAGCTAATCGATTGCAAAATTTAGTTCTCCATGTCAGAGATGAGAATTTGGGAAAGAGAAGTCAGCAAGACTTCACAAAGAAGAGTAACAGAGATCAGAAAACTATCCACAGAGAGAGCTTCAGAGATTTTCAGGGGATGTACAGATTTATTGAATCTTCCAATTAATACTGATCAACACAAGTATGTGAGGAAACGATCAAGGGCAGGGTACAAACCACTAGAAAGGGAAGGCAGAAAAATCTCCAGAATTCACATAGCATCATAAGTAGTTTGTGTTTCCACTAGCCAGAGTCAAAAAACCTTGAATCAGTTAGAATACTCAGAAGTGTATTGTCTCACTAATGTGGAAAAAATTCTCCCTAGACTAAAAGGTGCTCTGGTCTTACCAAGCAAAGCTTAAAAGCAAACTTCAACGCAAGCAAATTATTCCTAAGTAACTTAACTGCATCCCAGAATAAAGCTTAACTATTCGGCACAAAATAAGGTAAAATTCACTATGTCCAGCATTTGATAAGAATATATCAGGCATACAAACAAGCAGAAAAATATGATACCATATTGAAGAGAAAAAAAATCAAGAGAAACAGACTCACAATGACACGTTGCTAAAATTAGTAGATAATGACATTAAAACAGGTATCTATGTTTGAAAAGGTAAAGGAAAGCATCAAATGAGAAACATGGAAGAGAGAGCAAAATGTGAAATCAACTTCTAGAGATTAATCAAACAAGGAAACATCATGTCTTAGATGAAAACTGTAGAGATGAAATCAAAAGCAGATTATCAATTGTAGTAAAAAAACAGTGAATGTAATTGTTTAACAATAGAAAGCAACTGAAATGAAAAAATAAATATATGGGAAGAGAACATCAGTGGGATAACTTCAGTGGCCTATTATAAGGGTAATTGGATTCCCCAAAGGATAGGGGAGAGGAAAGTTTTCAGAAAATAATGTATGAAAGAATAATTACTGAAAAAAATAAATTTAGTAAATTGAGCTCTCCTCAGCCTAATGAGTGTCCAAAGTCTCTTATTTTCTTGGACTTTATATTGACCTGAACATTGCTTTGAGACAAGTCTACATAAAAAAATAAATAAATAAAATGAGGCAGAGGTAAAGAAAAGGAAACCTTCTCTTGGTCAATCAAGGTGAGATGGCTGAAAAGAATGCTAAATCCTCATCACAGGTGATGGAGTGAATGGTCACCTTGGTCCAGAGTGAGAAGACAGTGAGCCTCAGGATGGTTCTAACACAGGATCACCCACTCATCTGGCTGCAGTCCCTGTAATTCAGACCCATTTTTAGGGCTCTTCCCCCCATCCCAAGTCAGCTTCCTGTTTTCTCTTATACTCCTCTTTCTCAGATTTTCTTAGTCTCTCTCTAAGCTCTACAGAAGTGTCTTCTTTGTTGTTTCCTTATATATTTTATATCTACCTATGAATTACCATCCCCTGAATGTTAAGGCTTCTATGAAAGATAATGCAATAATGTTTGTAATCTAGTTATTTATCAGGGGCCACCACTCTTGTCTGTGTTTAGCACAAAGAACAAGGGGCAGAGTACTCGTCAACTCAGGGGAAGGAGGAGTCAGCAGAGAAAGCATTCATGAAAAAAGGTTTACATCTCAGCAATTTCTAGGCACAAAAGACTTATGAAATTCTAACATTTTATTTTGACACATTTGTTTTTTAGTCTTTTGTTAGATACAAATACAGATTTTGAAAAATCATTTTATAGTAATTATAGTATTTGCCAATCTGTTTACACCATATAAATTCTACATATAAATAGGTGGAGAGGTAGTCATAATATTGAGGGGGGCATGTTGCATAGTATCTTGCACCATAGCTCACTGTCTTTTACATAATATCCTTTAGTAAGTTCAGTAAACATTTTTAGTAAAGGGCTCAGAAATTATGATAGAGTAATACCAGTCACAGAATCAAGAAAGTCATCTAGTTTTATCTACAAAAGATTTTAGAAATAATCTTGTAACATACCCACTAAATTCAATGATGAACATTAGATCACTTTTTATCCATTATAATCTTATTTTCTCTCATAATGCTGTCCTTTAAAGAATAGATTCTATTGTAAAAGCTTCTAAAAAACTATCAAATCTTCCTTTGTTCCATTCCAGCTAAGCTGTGTTTCCCACCTGTTCTGTACTTGCTAAAAATAAAATGAAAAAATAAAATGACTATCTAAAGTGGTTTTACAAAAGACTGTATCATAGATACTGTGAAATCCTTCCTGATTTAAATCCTTTGAGTGGCTGGATATCTTGAAATGGCAAATGAATTGGTCACAGAACAGTGTACTACTCAAGGTTTGTTCATGGAGTCTTATTTATCACAGTGATCTGTGGTCATAATAAGATAATCTATATAGTGCTCATTTTTCTTTTAGGTGGTCTGGGCATTCTTAAACCATTTATTCAAACATTATCTTTTCAATTCTACCTTATAATTTTTATTTCTAAAGCTAAGTGAGCAAAAACCAGGTATCTGTACATGGGTAGGGGTTTTCTAGGATATGGTAAAATGCAGGAGACATTGAAAAGCAAATGGGTGCAGATGAATTGAAAACTCTTCCCTCCCCACATCGAAGCCCAGCTGAAGGTTAGCATTTGAACAGAAAACATCTTCATAGACATGAATGGGAAAAGTTAATGCTCAGAGTCCAGAAGTAAAATGCAACCACTCCTACTCACTGCTTCTAGAAATTACTTTATAAGTGATCCTGAGGATTTTTTTTTTTCTCTCTCTCTCTCTCTCACTCTCTCTCACTCTCCCTTCTCCCTCTCCTAATTCTGGCTGAAATTGGCACCTAAGTCAAATGTAGCTAAGCAAAGAAACTAGAGTCTCAGTATGAGACAGATATATATGTATGCACAATATACATATATATTTGCATGTATATATATACACGTGTGTATGTATGTGTATATATATACATATCTATGTATTATTTTTCTCCTAATTCTACCCAAAAAAGAAGCACTAATACCTTAAGACCCATAAGTGAACTTTGTGCCCAGATGTTGTTTTGTTTTGTTTTGTTTGAGACTGAGTCTTGCTCTGTCACCCAGGCTGGAGTGTAGTGGCGCGATCTCGGCTCACTGCAAGCTCCACCTCCCGGGTTCACGCCATTCTCCTGCCTCAGCCTCCTGAGTAGCTGGGACTGCAGGCGCCCGCCACCATGCCCAGCTAATTTTTTTGTATTTTTAGTAGAGACGGAGTTTCACCGTGTTAGCCAGGATGGTCTCAGTCTCCTGACCTCGTGATCCACCCGCCTCGGCCTCCCAAAGTGCTGGGAGTACAGGCGTGAGCCACTACGCCCGGCCCCAGATGGTTTTTAATACCTGTCCCTACTGAAAGGAACAAGAGCCTCTTGGAGAAATGTCTGGCTCCAAGGCTGTGACAAAGAAGGTACATGATGAATCTGGAACACCTTTTTGTGCCAGAAAGAAAGGAAGTGCTCAAGAAAACAATGGGGACATGCCAAAAAGAAATAGGCAATAGCTTGAAGGGGTTCCCACTGACCAAATCTAGGGACAATTTGAGTATCAAAATCAATGAGGATTGCAATGGATTGTAATGATTAAATAAAGTAGGATGATTAAATGAAGTAGGAAATTATTCATCTATTATAATAACCAAACAAACAGATATATGCATACATAAATAAGCAGAGGGGAAATAGAACGTTACTTTCAATTAGTGTGCCAGCTGATACAAGTGAAAGGAGTAGTAATGGGGTGGCGGGGGAGGGGAGGATGGGGGTGGCGAATACCATTTGCAACCATGGTGGTAAAGAATAATTCAGGCAAGAAATATCACGAGAATACTTATCTTTGGGAAGAGCTGGGTGAGAAGCAGGCTGCTTGCATGTTCTCAAAGTGTCTCATCACAGACTGCTATTCATTACAAGGAGAAAAGTACTGACTAAACAGTGGAGAATTCAAATGACACCTTGACCTTTTGCTGCAAATTAACCTCACCAATAAGAGGCATGTAGATGTCTTGTATTTGGGGATATGGTACCCCGAGAAGGACACCACATCACTGCTGCATTATTCCACTTGCAGCTGTATAACCGAGTCTAATCATGAGAACACATCAATCAAGCTCAAATGAAGAAACATCCGGTAAAATTACTAGCCTGAATTTTTCAAAACTCCCAATGCCATGATAAAGAAAGGCAGAGAAACGCTGATAGAATAAAGAAGGTGAAAGAGATATAAAAACTAAATGCAGTATATGATTCTAGACATGGAATATGAACTACATAGATTAGATGAAAATATTACTTTAGTGTTAAATTTCTTGAATTTTATTATCTTCAGATGCTTATTTGAGGATATTTAATTCAGTCTGGAGAGTTTTATTGCAGTTTATTTTACTTCCCAATTGGTTTGAGGGGAAGAATTTCTTCAGCTGAAATGTTTTGACTCATATTTTCTGTTCCTACAGTAGCTTTTATATTGTAGTTTTTGTAGTTATGTTTTTTATTCTGTTCCCAGGTATCATAGAAATGGAGTTCCTAGTTCAAGAGTATCCTTTTCTATAAATAAAGTAAAATGCATTTATTTAATAAGAGATGTTGGCACTTTGGGCAGAAAGGGAGTGGTAGGCATGTGATACTTCTCTTTCATCTGGACATATTCCTTAATTTTACCTTATTTTTTTCCTTTCTGTGCCATGACTCCTGATCAATCAGATAGACAGCTGAAATTATTCTCAGATCTGAAATTTTTTCTTATTCTGTTACCAGATTTGTAGCTCTTCAAAGCATGTTTAACCTGTACACATAGTCTCATTTTCACTGCTGGTGTTGACAGAAAAAAAAATATTTCAAAAATAGAAGCTAGGGATTGTAATATAATGTAGGTATATAACGGCAATGACACTATTTCTGGTTTTCCTCTGCTTTGGGTCTACCTGAACAGTAGTGTGCACTTGCTGTGAATGGTAGGGCCCACCTACATTAGGTTGGTGATTTATTGTTGAAGTAAAAAAAACTAGTGAAATTTTACTGAGTAGACTCTTGATCAGCAGGATAGCAGATGTCTCCCAGAGTATTTTCCTTCTCAAATTTACAGGGCTTCTACCTTTCATAAAAATCCATCCTCACCTGTGACTCATCTTTGGATATAGCCTCCTCTTGGCGGTCTTTGGGAATGCCTCAAAGCAGAATTAATCCTACCGTACTCAGTGTTCCCTCGACTCTTCTTCCATTACATGGTAGTCCATTGGTGTCTCAACAGGTCTGTATATTATTAGACTGTGAGCTCCCTGCTCCCTCAACCAGATAGAGATTGAAGAGGACGCCATCTCTGTCTACTAAATCGTGTGAGGCCGTTACAAATGGCCGACATTTGTAGGCCACTACATCTGGGCTACTACTCAAACACTTATGTTTTACCCAGCCCTTGAGTTTGCAAAGTGTGTTGAGTCAAATTTGTAGTTAGACAGTTTAGCCGAGGGGAGCTTAAATGTTCCATGTAGAGCAGTGGGAGAAATATGTTATTGTTATTGTTGTTGTTCCTGAAATAGAAGAAACAGAGGAGAGAGAAAAGAAGTGAAGAATAAACGAAAAGAGAAGTAGAAATGCAGTCTGCAACAGATGACAGGAGACTGAAGCTAGAATCCAGACCAGGCCAAGGGACTTTATGATTTTAAGGAGGTTGGCTAACGCACAACTTTAGGTATTTGCAGTGCTACAACGGTCAGTTATATACATGTTTCTGGCTCTTGAAAACTTGAGTAAGATCTGTTAAAACACACATAGCTGCATAAATGTCTTCTTTTGAGAAGTGTCTGTTCATGTCCTTTGCCCACTTTTTGATGGGGTTGTTCGTTTTTTTCTTGTAAATTTGTTTGAGTTCATTGTAGATTCTGGATATTAGCCCTTTGTCAGATGAGGAGGTTGCGAAAATTTTCTCCCATTTTGTAGGTTGCCTGTTCACTCTGATGGTAGTTTCTTTTGCTGTGCAGAAGCTCTTTAGTTTAATTAGATCCCATTTGTCAATTTTGTCTTTTGTTGCCATTGCTTTTGGTGTTTTGGACATGAAGTCCTTGCCCATGCCTATGTCCTGAATGGTAATGCCTCAGGGATCTAGAACTAGAAATACCATTTGACCCAGCCATCCCATTACTGGGTATATACCCAAATGACTATAAATCATGCTGCTATAAAGACACATGCACACGTATGTTTATTGCGGCATTATTCACAATAGCAAAGACTTGGAACCAACCCAAATGTCCAACAATGATAGACTGGATTAAGAAAATGTGGCACATATACACCATGGAATACTATGCAGCCATAAAAAATGATGAGTTCATGTCCTTTGTAGGGACATGGATGAAATTGGAAATCATCATTCTCAGTAAACTATCGCAAGAACAAAAAACCAAACACCGCATATTCTCACTCATAGGTGGGAATTGAACAATGAGATCACATGGACACAGGAAGGGGAATATCACACTCTGGGGACTGTGGTGGGGTGCGGGGAGGAGGGAGGGATAGCATTGGGAGATATACCTAATGCTAGATGACGAGTTAGTGGGTGCAGCGCACCAGCATGGCACATGTATACATATGTAACTAACCTGCACAATGTGCACATGTACCCTAAAACTTAAAGTATAATAAAAAAAGAACACACACACACATAGCATATGTAAGAATTTTGTTTTTATGAACACTAAGGAAAATGCTGTGTTTGTTACATGACTGGCCAAAATAATTAGCAAAAGAAACCTACACATGGAACAGCTGCATAATTTTGAAACTAAGTTAAATCAGAGGAAGCATGGGGGTAGGTAGGAGGAGGATTACTACAAAATTATAAGCCTATTGATAATTTGTTAAAATCCTGAGGAGGATTTTTAAGAAAGTGTGCACTGAAAGCTTGAAGCAATCTCATCTAGTGTTTAAGAAGAAGGATTTCCTTGCTGATTTCTACTATGTGTTTTTATTCATACACAGGCACATTACCTAACAGGCTATTTACTTAGATAAGAGGTGAGCTCAAGGTAAATACCTGTACCTTTGCTGCTAGCTTTAGAAACAAATATCTAATAGGATCTATTTTGACACTGCAATGGAAACTAGCAAAATTGGAAAACTCCTTAGTAAGTGTTCAACAATAGAGAAATGACTAAACAAATTAGAGTATATTTGCCCTATTTTGTACGTGTCACAATCACAAGACTGAAATCTGTCTATATAAGCTGACATGTTAAGTTCCCTAAGACATAATGCCATGTGACAAAAGATATGTTGTCCTACTGTACAACTGTCCTAGTTATGCAAATGTTCAGGAAACTATGTATTAACAGCAATTGACCCCAGTTGAAGGATTTGATTGGAGGGAAAAAAGGTAGATCTTTACTTTCCTCTTCCTATCCTTTTATGTCACTCAAAATTTTGTCATGAGAATTAATATATATGCATGAAATATTGTAATATATTAATATATAAATCAATACATGTACACTATAAAACAGAACATCTGTTTTTGGAACATGGTTAGCTGAGCTAATGCAAAATGCTTTCTGTTACAATTAACATGGTGGAGAATTATAAAAATTGTGCATAGTGCTGGGAGTTCTTGGAAAAGAAATGGAGATGGAAACCCACAGATACTGTAAAAAAAAAATGGAAGGAGGTGAGATTGCATGAAAAATGAGAACCATATAAGGTAAACTTTGTTGGACTTATGACTCAGTCATAGGCTCTCAATAATATAGGTTTGGGAGTCCCTTTTTACTCAACTTTATTGTAGTAGAATTTCAGAAGGTGACATTCACTAATTCTACTTGCACAATTCAACATGTTTTGATAAAAGCATAGTTACATAGGCCCTACTACATTCAAACTTTAAAACAATCCCAGCCAGAAACTCCTCTGGTGCCCCTTTAAAGTCAATTCCTTTCTACCATGCCTAGCTTCTGGGCCCAGGCTGGAGTGCAGTGGCATGATCTCAGCTCACTGCAACCTCCACCTTCCAGGTTCCAGTGATTCTCCTGCCTCAGCCTCCCAAGTAGCTGGGACTACAGTGCCCACCACCATGCCTGGCTAATTTCTGTATTTTCAGTAGAGACGGGATTTCACTATGTTGGTCAGACTGGTCTCGAACTCCTGACTGGGAATCTTTAAATGAATTTTTGTCCTAGTAGTTTTGTGTTTTCTATAATTTAATATAAATGTAATCATGCTTGAAGAAGCTTTTTAAATCTAACTTTTTTACTTAGCATAATGCATTTTAAAGTAAGTCTTGACTTTATATGTATTACGTTTTCCTTGACAAAAACCTAGAAAAGAGTTGCTCAGTCATACAATAAGTGCATGTATGAATTTATAACATAAAGTGCTAATCTGTTTTCCAAAGTGGCTATAATAGTTTACATTCTCATCAAAAACATATGAGAGTTTGATTGTTCATCCTTACCAGAACATGGTTTTGTTATCTTATCTTTATTTTTATATTAAATGTTGCAATAAATGATATTTCCTTGTGGTTTTAATTTGCATTCCCCTGATGATTAATAATTTTGATCATTTTTTTATTTGTCATCGCTATCATTGGTTTTTGGTGAAGTGTCTTTTCAAATATTTTACCTAATTTTTTTAACCAAATTGTTTGGCTTCTTAATATTGAGTTGTAAGAATTCTTAGTATATTCTGGATACAAATTCCTTTTCTGATATATGATTTGCAAATATTTTCTCCCATTCTGTGGATTATCTTTTAATTTTCTTAATGCTGATTTTTAAGACCAGAGTTCTTAATTTTCATAAAGTCCAATATTTCTAATTTTTATTTTTATTATTTATCCTGTTTTCTCACCTTATCTAAGAAATCTTTTCCTAACCATGTTCATAAAGATTTTCTCAAATACTTTCTGCTAGAAGTTCTAGAGTTGTACATGTTACATTCAGGCCTCTGATCTATTTCAACTGAATATTTTTATAACAAGAAAGGTGAGGATCAACACTCATCTTTTTTCATATGATCACCAAGTTACTCAAGCATCGTTTGTAAAAAAGTCTCTTCTTTCACCATTGAAAATCAATCATTGTAGAATACTAGCTGACTATATATGTGTGGATCTATGTTTAGACTCTATAATCTGTTCCATTGATCTAAGTCTTACTTTACCTCAATGCAACCCTATCTTTCTTACTATAGCTTTATAGTGTGACTTTAAATCAAACCATATGAATCCTCCACGTTTGTTCTTTAAAATAGTGTTTTAATTATTCTCAAGGTTTGCATTTTCATATAAGTTTTAGAATCAGCTTGTCAATTCAACAAAAATACCTGATGGGATTTTGATAGGGATTGAATTGAATTTATAAATAAATTTGGGTAGAACTGAGATTTAAATAATATTTAGTCTTTTATTCCATACACATAGTATATCCCTCCATTGCTTTATTTGCTTTATTTTTATGTTGACTTTTTTATCAATGATTTTTAATTTCCAGTACACAAATCTTGCTTATATTTTACTAGATCTATTCTGAATAATTTAATGTTTTTGATGTATTGCAAATGGTATTATGTTTTTTAATTTCAATTTTCAGTTTTAGCTCATATACAAGGGTGTGATTTTATATATATGTAAACATATACATCTAACTATCTGTAAACATATATGTAAATATCTAAACATATATATGTAAATATATATAAACATGTGTGTGTGTGTGTGTGTGTGTGTGTGTGTGTGTGTATATAAACCTGGCATTCTATGACCTTGGAAATTTCACGTTTAAATCAGTTTAGCTTTTCTGTAGCCTTTTTGAGATTTTCTAAATAGCTAACATCTGTTAATAAAGACAGTTTTGTTTTTCCCAGACTGCATGCATCTATCTTTTCTTCTTCCCTTATTATTTTCACTAAGACCTCAGCCTAATGTTGGATATAAATTGTTAGAACAGACATCCTTACCTTGTTTTCAACCTTAGGGGATATTCCTCAGTCTTTCACAATTTGCTATTATATTCACCGTAGGTTTTGTCAACTTAAAAGTGTTCCTTATCTTTCTGATTTGCTAAGATCTTTATAACTATAACTAACAAATGTTGAATTTTATCAAGTGCATTTCTGCATGTATTGAGATCCTCCAGGTGCTTCGATGTCAGTGCTCCTGTTTCAGGGCCAGGCAATGAGATTTGCCTGTGTTTTCATACAAAAAGCTGAATCTAAGCTGCCTACATAGGCTCAGGAATAAATACAGCACCCTCAGTTGACAGGAACTAGAAAATTCCTCCTCTCCGGTTGAAGACATGACAAGGAATCTTGGTTCTGCTCTGATTCTGGACACCAAGAAAATCTCATGAGATAATCAAACCTCAAGCAGAGTTTGAACTCTAATCTGAAATACAATTATAACAATAGAGTTCCAGAGTTCAGACATTAACATAAAAATTGTTTTGAGTACATTATAGAATCAAAGGCTAAATATTCTGAAGAGACATTTCTGCCATAAAGGCCACATGGTATCTTTAATTGAGAATAATGGAAGCTAACTCTTCTGAACTCTTCTTACTGTATTGAAATTTAAGTAGAATATATGATAGAATATATATATTTTTCATTCATTCAACAAATATTTATTGAATGTGTCTGTTAGGGGTCCAGGCATTTTTCAGACTCTAATATGATGAAAGGAAAACATGACAAATCATGTCTTGTTCCAAGGGGAGATTATTATTATGATTTACATGGTACTGCAACCAAATGTGTTCATCTTATTAGAGTACATATTGATTGCATATAACATGATAGCCTCTCTTAGGATATAAAGTAATTTTATATCTAAAATGCTTGTGAAACCTTTTCTAAATAATCACTAATAATCTAAAATATATACATATGTGATTATATATAATCTTCACTTCATTATTTTTGGTAAGAACATAAAAAACTGGCTTTGTTCTAGGAAGTTACTTTGCTTTGTGATATTTCTGCATTTATCCTCTATACACCTCTTATTAGATAGAATTATGCTGAGTTACTACAAATGAAACCAATTTTGATACATTATTTGTTTTGTCAAGAGGCAACATGCTCAGTCTTTGCAATGCATCTATTCTTTTGGAGTTATTTTAAGATACATGCTTCAGTTTAGCACCATACTAATCATTTTATAAAAATATAAGAAATCTAATTGCTGATATTCAATATTAGGCATATTTTATGCTCCTATTTTATCACCAAAGTAAAGCCACCTCCTAGTGCAGATTTAATTATTTGGGTAGCCACCATTCACCTCTGCTATCAAATATTTCCAAATTAATTAGTTATTTCAATGTTTTTGCCCTATTTTGATTTGTCCAACTATTTCATTTCTAATTAAACTCATTTTACTTAAGTTACAAACTAAGCAGATGTCTTGATTTGTTGTTTCAGACATTAAGAAAGTTATATTCAGTCTTTAATATATTTAATAGAACAAAACTCAAGTTGTTGTTTTGCTAATTATTCTATACATAGATTAAAACATTGATCCCTGTTAAAATCATGCTATTTAATGCTAAGTTTTGTTGAATGAAGGGAGGATCAAACTGGGGCATGTCATTTTTTGACAACAGAGTTAACTGAGTGGCTCCCAATTGCTCATTAGACGTAACTTTCCTTTAACAGCATTACATGTGAGCTTCCAATAGGAGTGCCTTCTCATGGAGGGTGGTTATTCATCAGGCAAGAGGATATAAGTATGTATAATAACCAGCTAGAACCTTCAGTATGCAACAGGTTTCCTTCTGCCTTCGTGTATAATAGTCACCTTTAAAGCTGGAGCTTTTGCTGAATGTTGTTGATATATTATAACAATATCCAGAAAATGCACTCTATTTCCTCGCTAATCCAAAGCAGACAATGGCATATTTCTAAATTAATAAGAAAACTGAAAACCACAAACATCTATTTCCACAATCTTGTTGCTGACATTAGGATACATGTTAACATTTAATCCAAGTTCAATTTAAATTCTTCCATCAGTTTTTGTTTAGTTGCTGTGGAGTTTTATAGGAAATTCAGATAGCTATAGGCTTCCCCTATAAGCTCTCTTCAATAATTTGATTCTTGCCAATAATAAATCTGTCCATCATAGTAAGTGATGCTTTTGTTATTCACATTGCTTTGTTTATTTAACAAAACTCTATTTGTATATCTCCACTGAAATCCTTGGTAATTTTTGATTGTCTATAAAATTGTGTTTTAAAATTGGCATTGAGTTTCAAATCATAATGCATAAACTGCCAATGGTATGACACTCATTGTTTATTTTAAAGTCATGATAAGTATAATTCACTTTTCTGCTACATGGACCAGTGCCAAGTAGAATTACAAGGGATAACAAAATGTCTTTGAAACAAACTTTTTACTAGAGAAAAAAGCAAACAGTCCCTGATATGAATCAAGAAATTTAGATTACCCTCCTGGCCAAGCAACCACCTGCCTGTAATTTTGTAAAACAAACTTGGTTCATTGGTGTCTCTCTCCTTGTCAGTAAAGTAAGACAGTAATAATTGAATTCATTATTCTCCCTATCAGAAAATAGTTTATTACTCTTAAAACGTAATTTCCTTAACCTTTGAAACTCTGTGACTTTAGTTTATGATTATTGTCTTTAATTATTGGCAATACTTCGAATAATTTAAAAATGCTAGGCTAGGCAAGTCCATTGTACTCATTTTATGCCTCAGAAATATTCACAATTGATGGATTAGTCTTATTATTTAGAAAACCATGTAGAACTTTAAATATAAAGACTCAATGTTGATTTGAGGGATTTTTGTTGTTGTTTCTCATCATAAGTTCACCTGTAAGATTTTACTTTCAATGTAGGTTAGTATCATAGATTTTACTTACATCTGTTATTTTTCATTTTTCACTGAGTATACAATATACCTAATTCTTCAGTGTTATTGTTTGTATGTCAGGTAGGAATGCTGATCATTTAGGGTTTTGAATTTTTCAAAACCTATAGCATTTTGAAGTCAATGCCATACGCTTTCAGGATAACAAGTGAAACAGCAAAAGGACTCATTTTCCATTTGATATCTTACAAATATAATCATATAAGGAAAGTCCCTTCACACACTATAGGATTCTGCCCTCAGAAATGTCTCTGTTTTCAGTGATTTCCAGAGCAAATGGGCTGCAAATGAAAATTTCACTTAATACAAACATGCTTCCAAATATTTTTGACATGTTACCAATTTTAGCTCAAATTTAATATTTTAATAATTGTGTTATGAATACTAGTACTAAGGCATCAATTGTAAATCAGTATTAGGTTCTATGATGGAAACACAGTGCATATACAGGCCAGATATTCTTGAAAAACCACATAATAGTAGAGCTCATGCTTGAATAGTTTAAGACCTTCTGAGAAAAGTAAACCTGATAAATTAAAATTTGCATATATTTATGAAAGTCCCTATGGAGATTTTGCCCATTAATGGACTTAAAAAAAGACAGCATACCTTTTGTATGAATAATAATCATTGGTATACAGTGAAATTTTTCTTTTAGGGTTTCCTTTTATTAATTTTTTAAAATTTTACTTTAAGTTCTGAGAGACATGTGCAGAACGTGGAGGTTTGTTGCATAGGTATACGTGTGCCACGGTGGTTTGCTGCATCTATTAACCCATCCTCTAAGTTTCCTCCCCTCATCCTGGTGTGTGTTGTTCCCCTCCCTGTGTCCACGTGTTCTTATTGTTGGACTCCCACTTATGAGTGAGAACATGTGGTGTTTGGTTTTCTGTTCCTGTGTTACTGTGCTGAGGATGATGGCTTCCAGCTTCATCCATGTCCCTGCAAAGGACATGATCTCATTCATTTTTATGGTTGCACAGTATTCCATGGGAATACTATGGGACCTTGTGATCTTGTGAGCTAATACTTAATAAACTCCCCTTTATATATATATGTATATCTATCCTATTAGTTCTATCCGTCTAAGAGAGACCTGACCAATACACCATATGAAAATTGAAAAAAAAATAGAGTTACTTTGTAGTGGAGAAATTTGACAAACACTACCCCAGCCAAGTGATCAAGGTGAAAATCAACAGTGATATGCCTTGTTGATAATATGTCATTGAAATGGTGTGATGAAAATGGTACTTTTCCACTGTAGTCTTCTCCAGAACACATAACCTCAGTCTAATCATGAGAGAAACATCAATCAAATCCCAATTGAGGGGCATTCTACAAAATACCTGACAAGTACTTCTCAGAACTATCACGGTCATCAATAATGTGAAGATCTGCAAAAGTGTCACAGCCAAGAGGAGCCTATAGAGACATGACAACCAAATGGAATATATGATTGTGGTTGGGATCCTGGAACAGAAAGAGGATGCTACAGAAAAACTAAGGAAATCTGAATAAAGTGTGGGCTTCAGTTAATAATATATCAATATTGATTCATTAATTGTAAAGAATGTACCATACTAATGAAAAATGTTAATAATAGGAGAAATTTGATGTGGGCTGTATAGAAGTCTCTGTACTATCTTAGTAATTTTTTGGTAAATCTAAAACTATTTTAAAATTAAAAGCTTATTAAAAAGAAATTTAAAATGTGATTGATAATTAAAGTAGTATAATTATGCAGCTGATGCTATAATTAAACTAATAAGAATATAATTAGATTCACATGTACTGATATGGAAGAACGTCAAGGATACATTATGTAAAAAAAAGCAAATTGCAAAAATATTGCATTTTTGTGACCCACTTTATGCAAAAATGTGAACACATATGCATACACCCAAATATTTGAAGAGGTACATACTAAAGTGTGGTTACATTAAAGATAGCAATAATATTGAGGGTTATAGGAAATGGGGTAAATGTGGGCATAGGGTTTTTTTCTATACATTTCTCTTATTTGAATATTTTATAATAAACATATATTTGCAGATACTTACAAGTTATTTATGGTTTAAAATACTTTTCTCAGATATATTTTAACTTCTTTTTGCTACCAAGCTTTCCTTAATCCATTATTCCCTTTCATTAATGTGACATCAAGTGTCTTCTCCAATGCTTCTTTTTGCTAGGCATGTAAAGAAGAATAGGTTTCTCTCAGGTTAAAGAGGAAAATAAGAAAACAAAACAAAAAAGCTACCTTATGCCTTTTAGTTACCCTGTATTTTTTTTCTGCCAAATTTCCTGATTTCATTATTTCTACTTCCTATGTAGAGAAAACTATGTAGTTTTCTCTGCTGGTTCACTGCAGGCTGTCTTCTGCCTTTACCTCTCTACTCAGTCTAGAGTGTGGCAACCTTCCTGACCGTGGTGGACAGGGTAAAGCTCTGGGCAGATTTGGACTGTGTGTCTGAGATTTTGCATATTTTACTTTACTTTCCTAATCTCAATGTCGTTACCTCTAAAATGAGGACAGTATCCTTCTTGCTAATTTCTAGTATACAAACTGATACATAATACATTTTAATAAATATTGATCAGATGATCTAAAAAGCAATCTCATCATAGCATCATGGCAAAGATGCAATCCCTTATCATCTTTCCTCTAGATTCTTGCAATGGTCTACTAGTGTTATAGATGAACTAACTTCCCTAAAAGAGTCTCAGTGTGTCTGCCCTCACAACCCTTCAAATCTCTGAGTCAACACAATATCCAGCGTGGGCCCATTGTAGCCTAAAAAGTGTGCATCTCTCCTCTCCTCAGAACCTTCCAGAGCTTACTATTGCACAAGAATGTGAGTTTGTGTAGTGTTTGTATGGGTGTGTGTATATGTGTGTGAGAGACTACAATGTGTATTTGCTGAGGTAATCCTAGGACTCACCAACACTGGAGTGGAAAAATATGGGAGGGAAGAAAGTAAGCCAATAAAAGTTTTGTTATCAAGCAGCGTACTGCTGTGGGCACCAGGTGCCTAGGCTCAGCAGGAAACTCAGAAGGATAGGGTGAATATGACCCAGAGCAGTTCCAACCAAGGTTCCAAGAAGCTGACAATTTGGTCCATACCATCTGACAATTATTGGTTGATGGCTGCTTTGGGGAAGGAAGTGGAAGGGATGCATTCGTTTCTAGCATGCCCAATCTACTTTATCTTTAAGCCTGGCAAACTGTCGCAGCCAAAGAGAGTGCTCAGTTGAAGAGTTGTTGATAGGGAGCATACCCAAGAATGGTGAAAGCCAGGAAGATACGGATGGGCTGCAGACAGCATCTGCTAAAATGTCTTTTTTTCAAATATCTCATGTATTTGTATTTCCTTTCTAACCCCATGCATCACTTAAGATTCTTTAGGAAATAGAAAGCATATTCAAAGGGGATAATTAAAGAGAATGTAACAAAATGGCTATTTATAAATATGTAAGCAGTTTTCAAGAATTTCACAAGTTACAAGAAAGCTAGATGGACTAAAGCTATTTCCATGGTCTAAAGGAGCAAGGGTAAGGAACAGACACTTGAACCAATTAGATGTGTAATTTCTGTGGCCTTACACATAAGTAAGTAGCAGAAATCAGGCACTGCCAAGCTATGCCTCAGCAGGGAAGGATCCTGAGAAATCACACTCAGATTGATCTCTCCTCCAACTTCTGATCTGCTGTCTTTGCCTTTTGTTGGTCAAAGCAACCAGAGTGAAGTAGTACTTAGTCAGTGCCCAGAGCTCAAAACTCAGTGAAGTATGAGAACTGAAGCCAGAAGAGCAGGTGGAGAATATTCAGCATGACTAGGGCAATGCAAGTTGCAAGAGAGCCTGACTTTTATCCTTCTGTGTCCCACACTATCCCCCACAAATAGAACAGTGCCTTGCACAGAGTCAGTACTAAATAGATATTTGTTGAATGTTTCGGTCCATTCACAATACTTTTGCTATTCTTTGTAAATTATTCCAGGATTGCACTTTGTTTAATTTTTGCCTTCCAAAAAGTGCAAACTGATATCTCAATATTGTGAATGAATACCCTTAAAATGTTTAAGTGCCTCATTATAGGGGAGAGTCACAGCTTCTAATAATCATGATGTAAAGATTGGTTTTTTAAAAAAACTGTTATCTTCCCTTATAACTCAATATTTCCATTTCCTTTTCTAAATGAAGCAATAAAAATGGTTTTCCAGAGTTGTCAGATAGAGTCCTTATTCACAAATTGTTTGACTTCCATGAACACAAAATAATTCCATTTGATAAGGCATATTTTATTAGTATTTACCATTACTGTTAAGGAAAGGCTTAACTAGGAGACTGCCTAGTGCTGATATAGGATGACCATATATCAGAAAAAATATATTAAATTACACTTGACCATTTCTATATTTCTAATTTGAGAGAATAATTCTGTCAGTCAGTGATTCAGGATCCTGCATTTAATTAGCTGTTAAACCTTTATTACGATTTTGGATTTTGTCACTTTTTTGTTGAAATCGTTTGACAAACATGATTCATTGAAAATAATATTCTCATGTCATGTTAAAAATAGTTTTGTAATTTTATTTTTATACTCAACTCTTTTTACCTTGTATTCATCAAAAAAAAAAAAGTAGAAGTAAATGTATCCCCCCAAATTTCATTTCTACCTGGGCCCTGTGAATGTGACTTTATTTGAAAACAGAGCATTTTCAAATGTAATAAAGTTAAGACGAATTTACACTGGATTGCTAAAGATCTGAAATCCAATATGACTGATGTTCTTATAAGAAGAGGGAAATTTGGAGACAGACACAGGCACATGGAGGAGATGCGTTTATAGATGGAGACAGAGGCTGGCATTAGGTTGCCACTGGCAAGAGTACCAAAGATTGCTGGCAACCACCAAAAACTAGGGAAGAAGCCTGAGTTAGATTTTCCCTCAGAGCCTTCAGAAGGAGCCAATCCTATCCACACCTTCATTTCAAATGTTCAGACTCCAGAACACAAGAGAATAAATATCTGTTGTTTGAAGTCACCAAGTTTGTGGTAATTTGTTGCAGCAGTCCAAGGAAATATATACAGAATAAAATACAGTACCAAATCTGTTCTCATCCACCGGCAAACATTTTTTGTAATATTCTGGAAATGAAGAGTTGATTGCTTTTATTTATTTATTTATTTATTTATTTATTTATTTTATTTTTATTTTATTTTTTGAGACAGAGTCTTACTCTTGTCACCCAGGCTGGCATGCAATGGCACAATCTCGACTCACTGCAAACTCCGCTTCCTCGGTTCAAGCGATTCTCTTGCCTTAGCCTCCTGAGTAGCTGGGATTACAGGCATGTGCCACCATGCCCAGCTAATTTTTGTATTTTTAGTAGAGATGGGGTTTCACCATGTTGGCCAGGATGGTTTCGAACTCCTGACCTCTGGTGATCCACCCTCCCCGCCCTTGGCCTCCCAAAGTGCTGGGGTTATAGGCGTGAGCCACCGCACCTGTTCGGTTGCCACTTTTGGAGTATCAAGAGTCAGCCTTTGTTAGTAAGCATTTCTATCTGCCTGTTTGGGTTGAGCAAAATTAGAACTGACAACAGACCAGATGCTTCTATTACCAGAATTTCAACCTCCAGAGGATCTGGATAACAGTTTTCAAGTAACTCTCATAGTAGCCTAAGCTTACTTAAACTCTAAAATGAAAGAATAGAAATAGACTCAGGATGCCAAAAAGTCATATATTTATCTGATTTAAACTCATCAAACTGAAATTTAAAATAAAAATTATCTTGAAAACCTGCTACATAGCAAACACTGTATTAGGTTCTGGGAATACAACCTTGAATAAGACAATTTCCCTGACTTCAAGGAATTCGAAGTATAACTGTAATATACAATGAAATATACAATGAAAAGGGAAACATGAGGCTACAGAAAAAAAAAGAGTTATATCATGTTCAGCTATACACTGAAGGCATTTTCAAGTCATTGAGGAGTTTGAAATTGGGAAGCAACAGGATAAAATTTGTTGTTTAGAAAACAGCACAGGGCAGAGTGGAAGGTAGTTTAGGCAGATACAAGCCTGGAATGACTGGGAGATCAGCTAGGCCATTATAGTTGACATTGTGAGAAAAAGGTGAGGTGGCTTCAAATAGAGAATTAGCAATGAAAAGACACAGTGAAAAAAATGGATGAATTAAAAGGATGTTTAAGTGGTTAATCAGCAAAGTTTAGGGATTTAATTGGGGTAGAGATGTGAAGGAGAGAAAGGGAGGAGGGAAAGGCGGATTCCAGTTAGTGGAAGTTAGTGGCATCATGGTGCAGTTTTCTCCAGGCAGGACACCCAAGATGAAGGGCAGGGCCCAGGTACACAATAGAGAGGCAGGAACCAATGGGCTACATTCAAGGAAACAGATTTTCTGTTATTTACATTCAAGTTATTTATATACCCACCCACTCACAAACATGCTTTTCTATTCTTTCAAATGAATTAGCCTACTTCTATTTATGAACTGCATTTGGTTGTTTTGGCTCATTATTTACCTAAACTAAGTTCAGTCAACTTTCAATAATAGCAAAAACAGGCCAAAGTGGGAGGATCACTTGAGGCCAGGAGTTCGAGACCAACCTGGGCAATATAGTGAACCCCATTTCTACAAAAGCAAACAAAACGTATCCATGCATGGTGGCATGCATCCATAATCCCAGCTACTCTTACGAGTCTGAGGACAGAGGATGGCTTGAGCCCAAGTGTTCAACGCTGCAGTGAGCAACGCTGCGATGAGCTATGCTCTCACACCGCACTCCAGCCTGGGTGACAGAGACCCTGTCTTAAAAAGAAAAAAGGCAAAAGTTTTTTTGATATTACACAGCTAGATATTTTCAAAACACAATTAAAAAAGAAATGAAATAATTTTAGGTAATTGTAAAAGACACAATTTTAAGTAAATTTTAAAAATTAACATGAATAGTCTTTGCTCTCATTAGATGGTGAATATTTAACTGAGCTTTGCAGGTGATGGTGGAGACACAGGTTAATAATAAACATGATAACCTGAAGCAGTAACTCAATTTATTATTTTAAGATATATTAAAGTTAAGTATGATAAATATATTTAAATAAAAAGAAAAAGTCATATTTATTTCATGGAAATACTAAGTAAATAAATAGTACATACATTGTTCCAGAAATAAAACTGCAACCCTTTAATGATCTGACCAAAGGCCTCAGCCTGGCTCTCAGTTCTAAAGTCTTTTCATGCTAAGTGTTTGCTCTAACACTGGATCCCTGTGTGTTTTACTCCAAGTCTAGATCCCAGGGTGCAAGAATAAGACAAATTGGCATGTAATCAAGAGGGAAAATACCAACAACTATGATTAAATTAGAGACACAACTGGCACGGAAGAGTGTTAGTCAGAACTACTAGTTTTCTAGAAGGTTTTTTGGTTTTTTTTTTTTTTTTTTTTTTTTTGAAATTCCAAAGTTGAAGTATGGACAGGTGTATCCTGTGAAGGTGTGAGGCAATTTTAAAGGCCACCCTTTCAGTAGCATCAACATTAGTAACCTCAATGTAACCACATTCTTTGCACAATGAATACTTCAAATTTTCCAAGATAAGTCTGCAGAAAACAGGAAATGGATTCTTCACTCTGCAATTTTTTACTTCTAAGGTTACATTCTTTTAACTCTTCAGACTGTTACTACAGTCTATATCACATACTGAGTGTTTCCTAGAAAACTAATAAAGTTGAGATCATCTGAATTGCTTTTCTATTTTTCTATTTTTTTGCAACTGGTATGAATCATACTTCTCTAAGCAAATATGTTCCTTAATGTATTACTTTTCTTGTTTTGAAAACTCTAAAACTACCTATTATCATTTATAATATCACAGAACTTTACTCTGTGTTTATTATACACTTACCCCAATTCTGTCATTTTTATTCTACATACATCCTTCATCAGATTGTCACTGTCTTTCTTCTCTGTGTAGGCATTAGTCACTAGACTGGAGAATTCTTGGGGTGAAAAATATCCCAATATTCATAATTATATGGGCTAGCTTCCACCATCATACATGAGATATGTATTTTATCTGTTGTTGAAATTGACAGAGCCTCATAAAACCACATAATTACTCATTGGTTTGGCATTCTATATGGCAATATTTATCAATCATTATGAAGCGCAAGACACAATACAAGGTGTATACTCAATCTTATACAGAGCATTTGGGGACATCTATGTTGCAAAATTTAGAGTTCTATGTATTCATTTGGATTTGAGAATGATAATGTGACATGTATACCCTTTTAAAGCCACACCTGTTCCAGCACTGGACAGCACCACGTTTTGCCTCCCGTGTTTCCTCATCAGATTTTGCCACCGAATGAGTTCAGGTTGTGTCAAGTTTTGTTGTGTAATACAATATTTAAAAATCTTCTAGCGTTAAGAGCTGCTATTTTGGTTTTGTTGTTGTTGTTTCTGTTGTTTCAGAATTTTAAACTGTGGAACACATTGTCAGACAGACAGTGATGCAAAGAAGGAAGAGATAGGCATTTCAGGAAAATGACATAAAGCATAAGGAAATAGAGATGAGGAAAAAAAGAAGAAATATTTCAGAAAAGTCATGTAATCCAGAGGGCTGGGAGTGTAGATCTTGGGAAGGGGTCAAGTGCAATACAGCTGGAGCAAGGCATCAAGGTTGAATTATAGGAGATGTATGTTTTGCTCTTATTTTTTTCTGGCTTTACTGAGATATAATTGACAAAGAAAAGTTGTATATGTTTTGTTTTTTTTTTTTTTTTTTTTTTGAGACGGAGTCTCGCTCTGTCGCCCAGGCTGGAGTGCAGTGGCGGGATCTCGGCTCACTGCAAGCTCCGCCTCCCGGGTTCACGCCATTCTCCTGCCTCAGCCTCCCAAGTAGCTGGGACTACAGGCGCCCGCCACTACGCCCGGCTAATTTTTTGTATTTTTAGTAGAGACGGGGTTTCACCGTTTTAGCCGGGATGGTCTCGATCTCCTGACCTCGTGATCCGCCCGCCTCGGCCTCCCAAAGTGCTGGGATTACAGGCGTGAGCCACCGCGCCCGGCCTTATGTTTTCTTTAGAGAAATGTCATTCCAGTCCTTTACCCATTTTTAATTTGGTCTTTCTTTTGCTATTGAATTGTAGTTTCATATACAATTTGGAAATTAACCCCTTAACAGACATCGGGTTTGCAAATATTTTCTTTCACTCCCTGGGTTGCCTTTTCATTTGGTTGACTTTTTTTTTTTTTTTTTTGCCTCTTCCAGAGCAATTAAATACACTATTAGCTATGCTAGCCCTTATTTATTCGTGACTCCCTATCTCTAGAAAGAAAACTCTGAGGAACAACTGGTCCATATATCCTGCTGCTTACTAGATGTGTGTGTTATATAGACACTTTAAATTCAATTTGTGTAACCATATTCATCCATTAATTTAACAAGCCATTATAGTCAATGTATAAGACATTGGAGGGTCAATGGTGAAAGTTGTACCAATTTCATTTTTGGTGCAATTACTTCAATAATGTCAGACATTACAATGTTACAAACTGAAGCATACTCTGATGGAAGGAATGAATGTCCTTCTCAGAGGGTATGTAAGAAGGTAGCTTTTCCACATCTGGTAGGGCTGATGTTCCCTGAGGAAGTGATAGCTGATCTGGGATATGAGAGTGAAAAGAAAAGGAAGGAAGTCTATCAGAATGGGAACGAGCATGTGCAAAACCCCTGTGGCAAGGCAGAGTGGGAGGCATCAGAGAAAGAGAAAGAAACCCGTGTGGAAAGAAAGCCAAGGAGCCACTGCTTGTATATGAAACCATCACTGTTAGCCCTCTAGAATCCTTCTGTCTGCTCTTCCAGTCACAGCCCCCTTTGTTCCATTGAAGGAATACTAACTACACTTTTCAAATATTTATGGCAGTAATTCCTTATTACATTTAGTTACCACTCTTAAGAATTTCCTTTGAAGTTTATATGAATGGAACCATAAAGCATATAGTCTTGGTGTATGATTTTACCTATAGTACATTTTGTTTTTTCAATTTGTTTATGTTCTTGAGTCACGTATTTCATTCATTTTGGATGCTTGATAGGATTCTTTGTATGAATATACAATTCATGTACCTAATGCTTTGATGATGAACATTATATTTCTGTGTTTCTAGTGATCACAAATTATATATGATTAATATGATTAAACAGCCAGACACACATAGGCACATCATTTCTCTAGAATAAACAGCAAGAGGTGTATGTATATATGTGTATATATAAACATATACACACATACATGTATATATATAAATATATACACACATACATGTATATATACATATATATGCACATATGTGAACACAAATTCATGCATAATACTAATATAAAATTATGTACTATTCTCTTTTCACATATTTTTTTTTGTCTCTCTTTTCATCATTATTGATGGTTTCTTCTTCCCTCTCTTCCACGTAATGATCTCTCTGCATCTTATCCATTGAATTATTAATTTAGGCTATTTTGCATATTGCATTTAGTTCTAGAATTTCTATTACTTTCTTTTCTGAAAAATCTGCCTAACAGATCTCTTAGTCTACATAAACATAATCTAACACAATTTTCTATTATGATGGAAATATTCCCTAAATCAGTATTTCCCAATACAGTATTAACCAGCCACATATAGCTATTCAGCTCTGGAAACATGGCTAATGGAACTAAAGAATTGAATTTTTATTTTTTTAATTTATTTATAATTATTTTAAAGTTAACATTTCTAACAACTTTTATATTAGATAGAAGTTCTCCTATGATTTTATTTTCACCATCCACTTAAAAGAAACAAAAAACCTAACTCACACAGGGCAGGGATGGTGGCTCATGCCTGTAATCACAGCACTTTGGGAGGCCAAGGCAGGAGGGTTGCTTGACTCAGGAGTTTGAGACCATCCTGGGCAACAAAGTGAAACCCCATCTTTAATAATAATAATTAGCTGGGTGTGGTGGTGTGCGCATACACTCCCAGCTACTAGGGAGGCTGAGGTTGGAGGATCAC
Source organism: Homo sapiens (assembly GCF_000001405.40). Lineage (NCBI taxonomy): Eukaryota > Metazoa > Chordata > Mammalia > Primates > Hominidae > Homo > Homo sapiens. The sequence goes on from NC_000013.11 coordinate 92,661,212, forward strand.
TTGAGTCCAAGAGGTAATGTCTGCAGTTAGCCATATCATGCCAATGCACTCTAACCTGGGCAACAGAATGAGACCCTCTCTCAAAAAAAAACATAAAAACTGACATGCTCAGTTGGAGAAATTTGAAAAAAAAAAATAGACAATTATAATCAATTAAGACTCAATTGTCAACACTCAGTGTATAAATTATACACACTAAATGAGATTGTGTACATACCTATCCATATCTACACACATATACATTATATAAACAAAATACATTTTAGTAATGTTGGCTTATATATTTTATGGCCTATTTTTTCAAACAATATTTTATAAAAGAATTTTATGGCATTAAATAGTGTCTAAAATCATAGACTATAATGATTATGTAAGATTTGCCCTTTGGTTCTGTAATAATTTAAATATTCTCCTATTGCTCAACATTTAGAATACTATTTTGATACTGTTGCTAACATGATTATCTCTGGCTGATTTCTTAGGATTGTTGAGATTAAAGTAGGATTGCTGGAATATAATATCCAAATATTAAAACATTTTTGGTATTTATTGTCAAGTTGTTTTTCATGGAAGTTATGCCAGCTTAAATCGTCATTAGAGTAAGATAAGAATACAGTGTGAATTTAAGTCCTGTTTCTCCTCTACCTCTTCCTATCTCTTCTTTCTCTGTATCACCAAATGACATTTGTCATAGTCCTGTTCTTCTTCAATATCTTTGTTCAATAACCTCTGTTTTAAAGGTTCCCTCTCCCCATTCCATATTCAGCTCTCCTGTCTTAAATGCTAAATCTTACATCCATATTTCCAATCTGTCATGTCTTCCAAGATCAAGTCCCACTTTTCCAATATGTCTGCTATACATATATTTGCTTGTCCCTACTGACTCCCATTACATCTAGAGCTGAACTTTTAACACTAGCTCTGCCCCCAGCCCATCGTAATAACTCAACTCCCAATGTGTTTAGATTGTCCTTTTCTGTAAGCAATCCCATTGTCACTTGAGCACAAAACCCCCACTCTTTCTCTCTTTCCCTTTATCTCACAAATGCCGACATTCATCAAGAATGATTAAATTTTCAATTGCAATATGAATCCAAGGCAAGTCTTACCTTGCATACTGCTACTTCCATGCTAGAACAGGCTTTCGTCACCACGGCAGTTTTCTTTTAAATACTGTTCCTGCATTTAGACTTTCCTTCCATTAATCTATTCTACTCAATGCTTCTAAACTAATCTACTCAATTTATCAAGTTGAGGGGTACCACTGTCTTCATCAAAAGTCTTCAGTGTCCCCCTGTTGTCTTTTAAGCAACCCCAAGTTGCATAATTTGTCACTTATCCATTTGTCCCGCCAGCCAGCCACTCAAAATTTATTGAGTGCCTACATGATTTTTTCCTTTGGATAACTGCCACTCAGCTACTGGAGCTACTTGGCCCTTGCTTAAAAAGGTCGTGAAGTGCCTGGGAGTTTATTTCCCCTTGAGGTTTCCACTAACCAGTGACCGAAAGATACTCACCAAAGTCCCAGATCCATAGTCTGGATTATAGTAGCTCTAAAGTTTAGTTTACACTCCAAAGTTTCCCTGTGGAATCAGGCTAAAGCTGTTCTCCTTGGGCTTTGCATGGCAATCACACTCTTGCCTGACTTCCTTCTCTTCCTTGCCCTGCTCCACTAATTGCCTTATTTATCTACCCTGGAGCCCTTCCTTAATAAATTATTTTCACGTGAATTTTTCTCTTAGGTTCTGCTTCTGGAAAATCCAAAGAAAACCACTTTTGTTAAGAACCAAACACATGATCACTACTGTGAATGAACTCACGCTAAGTAGAAAAATAGACATGCAAGCCAACAATTTAAATTTTAATATGCTATAACAGTGGGATTTGCAAAGTCCTGTGAGATGAGGAAAGAATAAACACCTACCTCAGGTGAGGGAAGTCAGACTGGAAAGTCTTCACCTAAAGTAATGTCTGATCTGAAATTCGGAGAATAATTTTTTTTTAGGCAGAAATAAAAACTAGTTATAACAAATAGTGTGGGAAAAATTTAATGGTATAAGAACATGAAATTTTTCAGGAACTACACATAATGCAATTTATTATTATCAGAGACAATATTTGATACAAGGGAGGGGGATGGAATTGGTTCTGATAGGTGAGTAACATGGCAGAAATGTGAATTCAAGATATTCTCTGAGTGTCGTAAAAAGAGCTTATCTAGTTTATCTGTCAAAGATGGCAAACAGGTGGGGCGCGGTGGCTCACGCCTCTAATCTCAGCACTTTGGGAGGCTTAGACGGGCAGAACATGAGGTCAGGAGTTCGAGACCAGCCTGTCCAATATGGTGAAACCCTGTTTCTACTAAATATATATATATATATATCTACTATATATATATATATCTACTATATATATACTATATATACACACTATATATATACTATATATATATACTATATATATACACTATATATATCTACTATATATATTATATATCTACTATATATATCTACTAAATATATCTACTATATATATCTCTACTAAATATATATATACACTATATATACACACACTATATATACACACACTATATATATACACACTATATATATATACACACACTATATATATATACACACACACACTATATATATATATATATATATATATATATATATATATATATATATATACACACACACACACAAAAATTAGCTCGGCATGGTGCTGCACGCCTGTAGTCCCAGCTACTTGGGAGGCTGAGGCAGAAGAATCACTTGAACCCGGGAGGCAGAGGTTGCAGTGAGCCGAGATTGCGCCACTGCACTCCAGCCTGGGCGACAGAGTGAGGCTCTGTCTAAAACAAAAAAAGATGGCAAACAATATGGAGAACCTGATGCCTTCAATTATAGAGTTGTAGCTGTTGCTCTGGCAACATTGTGGAGGACTGCATGTGAAAGTTGTATGTAAGGCTAGTCTGGAGAATGAATCATCAGAAATCAAATACCATGGTGAGCACAAGGGGCTGAGAAGAGAGATAATGTGAGATATTAGAAAAGAAATTGGTGGTAGTTGGTGATTGATTGGGTCTGTGGTAATATTCTAGGCTTTGGATCACCCTGCCAGTCACCAAATCCAATAGATTTTTTTTTTTTTTTTTTACTTAATCAAGATAGCAGCATTTTACTTCCTTCTTCAGCTTCCTGTTGGATTGTTTTGCTAACTTTTGTACATTTTCCAAATTATCCATGTTGACAATACATTATTCTTTTATTTGAAAGTGGAGTAGGGTAAAAATGAAATCATAGCGTATAGACAACTTACTAAAAATTATTGAGTTAATCAGAAAAAGCCTGTTGATAATCAATATGCATGTGAAAAAATGTCCAACCTCAATGATAACTTTTTTAAAAAAGTCAATTGAAACAGTAAGAATATCAGATTAACAAAAAATTTAGCTGTAAAACATTCAATTTGGGCAAAGATAGAGCAAAGAATCATGCTAATGCACTACCTGTGAGACTATAATAGGTCCAAATTTTTGAAGAGCGATTACAAATATCTGGCAGATTAAAATGCTCACTTCCTTTCATCCAGCAATGGCACCACTAATAATTTACACTAAGAATCAATCTAGATGACTAGATATAAAAATACTTATTACAGTATTATTTATAACAGCAAAAAAGTCCATTAATACAAACTCATGAGTTACATTATAAAATGACCATTCCATGGAATATTATGCAGATGTTATAAAGGATATGTTAATACAAATGTGATCAATAAATATTGTGTTACAAAAAAAACAGTAGAAATCGAGTTTGTAGAGTATAATTTCATCACCATATGATGAAAATATAGATACACGGAAAATTTCTGAAAGGATGCACCCAAAACTGCTAACATTATTTGCCACTGGGGCTTGAAAATGATAATTTGCTCTTCTCATTTATTTTTTTCCCCAGGAACAACAGTAATTTGGCCATAAAATTAATGAAAAGAAAGAGGCATTAACAAGATAATGGAGGGACAGTGTTTAGTTTTTATGCTTGTGGAAGGAGGAGATAAGAAAACTTTATATAATTCTGTTGAAATAAAAATAAAATCCTTATGGTCAAAACTCTAAGAAAGGAAAGGTGCTTACAGATAGGAAAATAGAGGCTAATCCCACATCCCGGAAGTGTCAAACCAAGGACTAGAATTCAGATCTCTTGACCCTTGGCCCCAGTGCTCTTTCTTTGATCCTAAGCAATAGCATATCTATGCCTAGAAAATCAAGCCAACTGAGGTGGAAAAGACCTCGGCCATTATTTCTGCTTTCTCTGAATATACAGGATTGATTTTGAGTTCATAAATAAATAAGAAATGTTGAAGGGTTGTCCGTGGGACACTAAAGTTTCACTGTATTCTGAACCGGAATATCTTAATTCAATACCATTGCTCTAAAAGGATGCTTTCTCAAGCACTGAAAATTATGGTTCCATTTATGTCCCTAATTTAAGGGAAGAGACATTTTGAATTGGAGGCAAATAAACTATGTTGTAACACTTCAAAGCTTAGTCAGGAGGCTTATACCAAATGCCTTATGTGTACTTGTGGTTTTTGTATTCTGACCCTGAATGTATTTCACACATAAGGTGATATGTCTCCAATAATTTTCCTCCTACGTATGGTATAAATGAAATATTAGCACATATTATCTGGCACCCCACCAACTGATTAGTTTGTTGTTATAAAGTGCAAATGCCCTGTGATATAAAATTCCAAGCATTACTCTACTGAAAATGAGAAGGCATCACTAGCATGTGAGTGAAAAGAATATTATGTGCTTCCCTTTTCTATATGTTAGAATTGCTTTATATTGAAAAAATAAGTTACATAAAATACCAACCCAAAGCTTGTAAATTACTTTATCCATCTACTTCTAGGAAATTACAAAGAACAAATTTCATTATTTTAGCATAACAGGGATGGATTTTCTTTTGTGATATTGAATATATTAACAATGGATTTTTTTCCCTAGTGTTGTTTAGGATACTTCCTGCAATGCCTCATTCAAATTGTCAGTGATTTTTACTGTGTATTGTAAATGATACATAGCCACTGTATATAAACATTTGCTGAATTCAAGATTGCTAAGTTAAGAAACTGGAGTAAATAAAATGGAAACAGGAAATCAGTGAATATTTAAGGATATAATCTGGCAATTGCATGTTTCTGCTGGCTTTTCATAATATAACAAACCATGTTTTTTGTTCTAATTAAAAAAATGCTATCAATAATAAAAATGCTAATTATACATAATCAATATGTTTATACATAGATCAATTCTGACAAATGTTCTAATTTCAGTTTAGTAAATTGATGTGTAAATATACTTTGTAAGACAGGCAATTTTATAAGAAGATTAGTAGACTAGTGAATTAAAATTTCCATTTCCTATGCTGCAGAGCACTTTTAATGCAATTTGAAGGGAGAACATTAGTGCTCAGCATTTATAATTTATCATTTGACATTTGGACTAAAAACTCTAAGTGTATAGAAGAATTACATATATTTCTTAAATTTCCAGTACTGCACATGCTACCATAATGCAGACTTTTACAAGGAGATTAGTGTAATTCAATGGTTTATCACAAATATTTCCAAGAGGAGCTATATTGTGGACCTTATATTCCCCTCATAGTTGCTTCAGGAAGGGATCTCATTTGTCACTCCTTCTCGGCATTTGGTTCTATTCCATTCTTAACTGAAAATAGGGAAAAATGCCACCCTATACTGAAGCATTTCAACAGAATTGGAAACATTATGCATAATTTTCAATAGATGAGGGTATACATTTCAAACTATTCACAAAAAAAGATATTTTTGGCCAAAATTTGGTTGAGATTTGTTGAAAGGAAGTACCTCTCTGATCTACTGTTTTTTAGAACTGTCTGGGTTTCGAGGTCTTAAACAGAGGCATGCATGTGCACGCATGTGTGTCTGTGTGTGTACGGAAATGTACTATGTCCATAAAAATGCCACTGTTGGTGTTTCCAAAATGAAGCTACTAAAAAGAGAGGATTGGTGTCATCTAGAGAGGGAGACGAATTGGAGGACTGATAATGCAGAGAGTGCTTGGAAAATAAAACAATGGAAAAGAGGCCACAGTTTGGACCAGAAACAATTATCTGATCACCAAAAAAGAGAGGAGAGAGAAAAAGACACAGCAAAATACGGTCAGAGAGACAAGAAGAGAACAACCAAACAGTATATTTGGCACTGTAAGGAGTAAAAGATTGAGAGATTTTTTCCCCTTTCTATTCATGGGTTATGAAATTGAGGTTTTCTGTGTAATTAAGAAAGGATGGATCTTAGTGAAGGGCATATTGTCATCTATGAGAGAGCTGCGAGAAGTGTAGGGAAGATTGGAGAAGATGGCTGACATTGCTGCTTTGGGGTACTTGCTCTAAAACTTCTGCCATTCAGCCGTGCAGATGAGGTGAACAGGTATTTGCGGACACGCTTGACTCTTGATCACATGTATTAATAAGACATATTACATTTTTTAAAAATTATATCATAATTCATGTGTTGAGCAGGATATAGCTCAACAATGACTATTCAGCAACTTTACCTAAAAGCCAGTTCATAAGTTATTCTATAATTGTTGTTAACCTGGTGGGCATATTTTCTAGGGATTTCAAGTGAGCAAAAATTGTCAAAAACTAAAATCCGTCAGGAGTAATGTCTGCTTTGCCTATGAATCCTAGACACACTAAAGAGGTATTTAACATTTTAGTTAGAGCTATAAATGCTTTAAAATTTAAAAATATCTTTTCTTTAAACTTTGGTTTCATTTTCTTAGGCATTTGTTCAAATATACATATGTGTGAATGTATGTGATTTTTAGACCATAAAATACTTTGAAATTGTTAAATAAATGTTTGCTAATAATATATTTCATTATGGAAAAATTTTAGGATTCCTTTTGCTCTCAGTATTGACTATTGTCATTGTAGAAGTTCTGATAATATGATATTTATATAAGGACTCTGAGTTCAAATGCATCATCCTAAGGCAGTGAAAACATATTTTCCTCTTCCCATTTTATATTTATGCATAACAGAAATGGGAAGACTAAAAGATTTCATTATCACAATTTTGGAGGGCAGAGAAAGTACCAACAATCTGCATTTCCAGGCTAAGTTTAAGCTATTTAGAAGCCAAACCTTCTCACTATTCAGTTGGAATATCACATTCAGCAAGAGAATGTTTCAGTTTTTTTCATAGCTATGTTTAACTTTAAATAAGAGATTACATAATTAATGCTAAAATTGCCTGTGACTTATATTCCTTAAGGTTTTCTATTCTTTCTTAGCTTAAGTCATGATTTTTATTTTCATTGTTGTCATTGTTATTTTTCTTTTCATAGAAAAGTACTACTTAGCTCTATAATCTTTTATTTGACATTAAGGGAAAAATACTTTTGACACAGCAAAAATATGCTTGAATAAGTCTGTGGTCTTCTGTAACGGTTTAACCTTATATAGTTGTATTTTTTACATTTTAAATAATAATGATTACATAAACTTTATCCAAAAATTGTTATAATTATTGAGATTAATTTTGAATCAATTACAAAGTTTTTAAATAAATGTTATTTGCAGTGTTTATAAGTCAGAAAACAAATGAAAAGATTAATGGTTATATATCAATAATTGCTTATAGTGTAAATGAAACCATTTGTTAATTTCTAGAAATTTATTGCATATTTGATTCTACTTTCCAGGCAATATTCCCATGTAAGTTTGTCTTCATTTTAATAAAATTGTCCCCAGAAAAATAATACTACTATAATTTGAATATACAAAAAATTCAAATAATGACTCCATATATGCTCAGTAAGTTTAATGTTCTAACTTTAATCACACCAAAGACTTCTTATATTAATATAATTTTGTATATATGCAGGGGTTTCATTTCTGTATGTAATCAAGAACTCCGCTAAGCTGTTTATCCTCTCCATGTTCCTCCAGAACATTCTGCCTTAAAGATCTAATTTATGGTTACTTCCTACTCCATTTTTTTATTTCACCATGACTATGCATCTCATTTACATTTTATTTCCTGGTCTTTCCTCCTCTCTCTACTCAAAAACTACCCAGAGAGCATGACAGCAGCCTTGTCTTGACTTACACACCTTACACACACATACACTTACTTTCACAAATATGTGACAAGGAGAACAGTGATGCTACATTTATATTATTCTTGACAGATGAAACTGAGCACCTGTTTGCTGTATATCGTCGGCTTGGCCAATGTCAGGTGGATGCTGCCCAGATGTCCTTTGTTCATCTAGAAACATGGAGCCATGATGGCTACCTCACTTTCCTCACACCCTAAACCGAATTGTCCCCAGGTCCCAATCAGCAGTTGAATCCATTTCCTTTCCTTCATTTTCCTTTCTGCTACCCAGGCATTTGTCCTCTTGGAAAGCAAGACAAAGTCTTCCTGCCTCATGCTTAATCTGCTCCAGTGGCATTAGCCTACACTCATTCCTCAGAGAGAACAGATCCTTCCTAACTCAGAATTGCACACAAGGCACCTACTCAGGAGTCCTCTCCATTCTACTCCACCCCATGTCCCTTCATAGTCAATAGCCATAGGCTTTAGTCTAGAGTGACACCTCTGGGACAATGTACCGGAATCCCTAGACAAGGATCTTTGTTATTTGCCGTCACACAATCTATGTTTTTCTACATTTATACCAATAATTTTTGTTTAAATAATTTTTAATATTTTAGTCCCTCTCCTCTTAACATATAAACTCCTAAAAATCAATGGGTTGCTCACTACGGATTTCCAGCGCCTAGCACAGTCCTTAGCATATGGCTGGAACTCACTGAATTTCAGCTTTATAAAGAAATGAATTAATGGCTGTTGTACGCATGTGTGAGGAGCCATGTGGAATGTAAATGGCAGCATACCAATGTGTAAAGTTGTCAGAATCAAGGAAATGGAGCTAAATTGGGAGCCAGAAAGCTAATCCATATGGATGCCAAGGAGACGAGGCTTGAGACACAGAGCAGTGATCAATGTGAGGCATCCAAAGGCTAGGGAAGTCCCACAGAAACACAGGAGATGATTCAAAGAACCCTTGGTTGTCCTGAAACATTGCTTTTATTCATGGGCTAGAGGACTTTCTTGGCAGAGGGCTGAAGACAAGTGCATGCAAAAGTAGTTTCTCTAAATGTCTCACCAGCTTGTGTTTTGAATGTATAATTCCAGAACTATATATCAGCCATCTCTCAGTGCTGTTCAGTTCTTTTCATCCTGCTAAATCTTTTCCATATCTCTATTTAGATGATTTCTCATTCTTTCCATCTGAGACTGAACTAATGGCACAAAGTTGGTGTTTCCATGTGGGGATGTTACTAAGAAGAGTAGATAGGGTCTAGTTAGCAAAAACAGACCATAGAATTTTTTTAAAGTCTGCCCAGCATTTAAGAAGATATCAGCCTGTTCTCCAAGTGTCCAGTCCTATCTCTTGTGTCTACAAGCCTTTAGCCTTTTTCTTTTTCTAAGGATAAGCTCTCACTTTTCAAATTCTGTGTGACATTCTTAAGGCCACATACATAAACACATTTTCATCTATTCCACCTTGCAGTCCTGGAGCAGTAACATGACTACTTTTTGTGGCAAAAAGGCTGCTCCTTGGTCTGATCTGCATTTTCCAGGGAACTTGCTTGGCAGCCTACGATCCATCAAATTTTCCCCTTAGTAAATCTCAGAAAAAGATCACCCGTAAGCATAATAGTACAGGGGTAGTCTGAAGTTTGACTAATATTTTAGAGTGCTGTAGATCCTAAGATGAAAGCAGTAAGAAAGTTGAAAAAATAATATTATTTATTCAACAGACATGCTAGAAATCTCAGAGCTTCCCTAGTCACTATTTTCTGTCCTGTGCATGTGACATAAAACTCTGCAAAATCAGAACTGAGTTCTCTGTAAAAAAAACATTCCGAAATAAACAAGACCAGCCTTGAAGGGAAGGCCTTGTAATCCATGGTTTATTCTCCTTTTCTTGTTATGGCCAATGGCAGCACCTAGATTAGAGTAGGTGCTCAGCCATGGATTCACTGAAATAATGCTTTAAAAGTATACATAATTCACAGAAATCCTCTGCGCTTTCAATTACAATGAAACCATCTATCCATTACTCCAAAATGTGTGAATATTAATCATTCTATTTTTCTAGCTTTTCTGCATTTGTGATCCCTTTGTACTATTTTTTCTGTTAGGAAACAGTCAAGAAAACTGAAACCATGGTAGTAGGTATTTTAAAGAGGGAATAGGTTACCACATGTTAGAAGGCTCTAGAAGTTCTTGAGCAGCAGTAATTATGGACATAAGTTTACCTTAAATGGGCAGAATTCAGATAGATAACAACAACGAAAAGAGACTGTGGTTATTCACAGTGGGCTAATTTGTGTGGGAAAAATAAGTAGGTATAAATCTGTATATTCCAGTATCTGTGAGACAACAAAAATGGGAAATTATTTTTCTGAGTTAGTTGGGTAAAGTTTAAAAGGGTTGTGCTTTGTCCTGTAGACGATTGAGAGTGGTTTCCATATTTAAAAAGGATAAATAAACTGTTCTGTGTGCAGGGTGGATTAGAAATGGAAGACATTGGAAGCAGAGAGAAGTTAAGGGAGAACGTTGACATTATCTTAAAGTGTTAAGAACCTGAACAAAACTCATTGCAAAATCATTGCCAGGGAATATAGTGCAGGGCCATTGACTGACTCTAGTAGTGAATGAGGACAACTCACAGAGAGAAATCTGACAATCCATGTTTAGCAGAGGGAAGGAAGCCAGGAATAGTTATTAATAAGTTCCAGACTTCAGTTTTGTTGGGTATTTTTTTTACTCCCAGCGAGCTAAATTTGACAACAATGTAGCTCAATTTCTCCCAACCTCATTTTGTTAATCTCTACAATCTTGCCCCAGAAAAGCCATTTGTACCCCAGCTCAGAAAATTATGTATTAATTTGTCTTCACAAGATTGCAAAATTTTCAAAACTGTCTGTTCATGATAATTAGAGAAATACAAATCAAGACCACAGTAAGATACCATCTTATACCAGCCAGAATGGCTGTTATTAAAAAGTCAAAAAATAACAGATGATGGCAAAGTTGTGAAGAAAAAGGAATGCTTATACACTGTTGGTGGGAGTGTAAATTAGTTCAGCCATTTTGGAAGACAATGTGGCAATTCCTCAAAAACCTAGAGACAGAAATAGCATTTGACCCAGCAATCCCATACTGGGTATATACTCAAAGGAATATAAATCATTATATTATAAAGACATATGCATGCATATGCTCACTGCAGCACTATTCACAATAGCAAAGACATAGAACCAACCAAAATGGAAATCAGTGACACACTGGATCAAGAAAATGTGGTACATATACACCATGGAATACTATGCAGCTATAAAAAGGAACAGAGACCATGTCTTTTGCAGGGACATGGATGGAGCTGGAGGCCATTATCCTTAGCAAACTAACATAGGAAGAGAAAACCAAACACCGCATGTTCTCATTTATAAGTGGGAGCTAAAGGATGAGAACACATGGACACATAGAGGGGAATAACACACACTGGAGACTTTCAGAGAGTAGAGGCAGGGAGAAGGGAGATCATGAGGAAAAATAACTAATGGGTGATAGGCTTGATATCTGGATGATGAAATAATCTGTACCACAAACCCCCATGACACAAGTTTACCTGTGTAACACACCTGCACTTGTACCCCCGAACCTAAAATAAAAGTTTAAAAAGAAAGCAAAAAAACTCAACTTTAAAGTAGCTCAATAAGTTTTATATTGATATCAACTTTAAATAATTTTTTATGCATGACATAATATGTTATTAAAATTCATTTACCTTTTTAAAAAAAGAATGCAAGATTTTAGCAGAGTTTTCAACAACAATGTTATATTTAACAAGAGATAAATATCTCTGATGCTTTACAAACTGGTGTTTCAGTGAATTACTCTTTTTTTTCTTTTTCTTTTTCTTTTTTTTTTTGAGATGGAATCTCGCTCTGTCGCCCAGGCTGGAGTGCAGTGGCATGATCTCGGCTCATTGCAACCTCCACCTCCCAGGTTCAAGTGATTCTCCTGCCTCAGCCTTCCAGTACCTTCCAGTACCAGAAGGCACGCACCATGATGCCTGGCTAATTTTGCATTTTTAGTAGAGATGGGGTTTCACCATGTTGGCCAGGCTGGTCTCTAACTCATGACCACCTCCCCAACTGCTGGGATTACAGGCATGAGCCACCACACCCAGCCAAAATGAATTAGTCTTAATTGTGTTCTATTCGTTTGTTTTTCCTGCATTTTCATTTCATTTCATTTCACTTTGATGAACCAACAGAAATACCTGATGGAATACAGTGACAGCTTGAAAATCTATCATTCCACAGTAGATAAAATAATATGTGAAAGTAATGAGAATTTATTAATTCTTCTAAAATCAAAATTTAAAGACATACCACTGACCCTTTGTTAAAATAGCTTACAGAACAGAAATCTTAGAAAATGGGTATTAGAGTTTCAGAAAGCTAGTCATGTTAAAAAACACTTTTCAAATCAAGGCTAGCTACCTCATAAATAATGGAATGAAGGAACTACTTATAAAACCAAGGTTCCATTTTCAATTGTAAAAAAATGTTGATATTAAAATAGAGTAAAATAAACATTAATTTAAAATATTTTTTCTGCTCACTTCCAGAAGGTGGAACATAAACCACTTAAGGGACCTATTTCAGCCCCACTAAAGCAAATGGCAAATATTGAAACTGGATTACCAAATCTATGCCTTCCATTTGATTGGCCGTGTAACTTTTTGTTTTGTGCATGGATAATGGCTTTTCTCCTTCAGTAACCCAAAGGAAAAGCTGACATTCTAACCTGGAGCTGCACATTCAAGCTTTGACACGTTCCTCTCACTGGGTTCATCTAATGCTTGTAACAAGCCTATACAGTCAGCAACTTTAGAAAGATGGGTTGAAGAAGTGTCTTTATCATACTTTGAATTTTTCCCTGGGGCACTTGGCAGAGTCATCTCTGGTGTTTCAAGTGTGCTTAAAAGTTATCTGGCTGCCCTCTTAGAAGTTTGCATAAAAACTGCTTTACTTAAAAGCAGACAAAATTAAGGTTTCTGTAACAAAATCATAGGAATAGCATCGAGATAGGACAAAGACCAAATATCCTGTTTCCATGTGGCAGGGAAATAATGAAATCAAAAATCCATGAATTCTTGCTTCATGAAGCAGGAGCTTCATGAAGCTCTTCTTGAAGCAGGAGCTTCATGAAGCTCTTCTTGAAGCAAGAGCTCATGGAGTGGCATATCATCATACCATTATTAATAGAGGACATTGCTAATTTCTAGAAGGGCTTCATGTCCTGATTATTTTATCTTCTTCTTTCTGTTGAATTTTTAACATCTATGTCTACTGCAAAGTACACAAAGGAAATAAATTAGAACTTAGAAAAGGGCTTTTTCACAACCTCAAATTATAGATATATTTCTTTCAGAACCTCACTTTAGAGAGAAAATAGCAAAAATTCAGCATCATCACTTTTGTGACACTTCACTAACCAATCAAAATATAGAAAAAAAGAGAAATTAAGTACATTTGTATTCACTGTACATTTTTAGCTATTTGTTTAGAAGAAAAACAATTAGCTTATTTAAAAACCCTAAGGTGAGTATGCAGTTTTTATTGTTATCTTTGCTGTTTTGAGTTATATTTTTATTTTTGTATGTATAAAACCAGTAAATAAACCTATGTCAAATACTTCTTTACTTTTGATACTAGTACAAAATATTGATGACTTTTTTAGATAGGAATATCTGATATATATCTTTCAGAAATTATCAGAGAGTTATAAAATAATATTTGGGAGGTAAGGAACACACTAGACATAAGAAACCTGTATAGGCAAATACTTTGTCACCAAAGTTGTATATTTAAAAGTTAAATCCTATTCTTTAATTTGTCTCTTACCAATTCAAAATTAATTCATTAGAAAGCAATTTTCCTCAACACTTAATCCCTAGTTGTTCATTTCTTTCACTAGCTAGTATACCATTGCTCATTGCTTCATAGCTAAACTCTGTTTAAATCTGTTAACTGAAATGATTTTTAAAACTTTTTGTCCATTTTTCACCTATTCCGTTTGACATTGGTCTTGTATGATATCATGATACAAAGGAAAATGACCCTACAATGATATGATTCATAATTCCACCACAAATTTCCTTGATGCTTGGAAAGTGTGATTAATGTATTTTGTCCCCCTCCTTTTTTTTTTAACTATAAAGCAAGTACGTGTACAACAATGCCATTTTTTCAACTCCAAATAAATAGAAACAGCTATAGGACTAAAGTTTCTTATATGAATCTTATAGTTTACTTAGCACGTGCTTTAATAAAGTTTCCTCTCCAGGAAACTAGAAAATTGTAAATGGTGTAAGTCTTGATGTTTTGTCAAAAACATATGTAATATTCATATAGCAGAGCTTTGGTCTTATGCCATGAACAAGCAGGAGGTGCTTCTGGAACTGTCCTATTGATTTTCACACATTATTTATTAGAAATGACTGCTGCCATTCCCACATAGTGCTAAGTGTGAACACTTACTGTATGTATGTGGTCTCAATATTATTTTGTTGTTCACAAAACCACGTATATCCTCCCATCGAAATATTGTCCTCATCTTAAAAGTAAATGGCACTATTTTATTCAATGGTTTATATTTTGGAATCCTAACCAGATATTTTTTGCCATGAATTTCAAGCACTGCATTACTTCCAACGACATGCTATGGCTATAAGGAAATTATATCAAACATGAGTAAATTTTGTTGACCAAGACTATAGATGTAGCAATACCATTATATAACAGACATTGATGGTTGGTGAAAATTACCCCCAAATGTCCAATGCCATGAGTATAATTTGAATAGCTCTTAGTTTAGTTTCTATTAATATTATATGAAGGTCATTTGTAAGCCTGCAGACATAATTCATAGAATATACTACTCAGATATTTGGGAATGTACTACTTAAGTATTTGGATATATTTAATTCCAAATATATCTCTACTGTGATTTTTTTAGGAGATACAATTGCCATCACAGTAAGATATTGCTGATTCAGATGAAATTTTTAATTAACTAGAAAAGTCAAAGAATGCAATTCTTTTTCAAGATTTCTTCAAATAAAGAAACACGCAAAATTAGGCTGTGGTTCTGTGAATAACAATAAGAAGTATGGAGTCAGGCAAACCTCAGGTTCAGTCACAGTTCGACTCGACTGTTAAGTAGATAATAATGCTAAGGGTGTGTTTTTGTTCTCTTAGGTTTGTGGAGACAGGTAGCATTCCACAGACCGACATTGAGCCTACCCCACGACTATTCAACCTGCCCATTATTGGGTAGCTTTCATATAATCAGTTAGAAAGAAAACATCTATGAAAACTATTTACTAAAGAATTATATCTTTTAATTAAGAGTACCGAACATGGTCAAGTTAGAGAACAATTGAGTAGAAACCTTCTATTCAAATATAATTGAGACCAGTTGTTTGATACTTAATCTAAAAAGTGAGTTAAGGAGGAGGATCATGGGGTTAAAAATACACACACACACACAAATGTAAATTAATTGGCCAATATTTTGATATAAGTCCAGGACCCTTTGATTATCACTCTATTAACTGGAGTTTCTATACATTGTCTTCTTTGTATAAATTATGATCATAACAAGTCAATTATAATTCTAAATTTTTATTTGTTTAAAGTAGAACAAAAACTTAAAGTAATTGAAGTACGAAAACCTTTAACTTATTAAAATTTTGTTATTCTGATTATTCTAATTTTACAATTTTTTCTTAAAAATTTTACAGTTGCTTAGCCCTCATATTAATCAACTTAGCTTTTTCTAATCTTTTCAAGACCCAACATATTTTTACATAAATAGCACCACTCTTTTATAATCACATCACTAATTTTATTTATGTCACAAAAGACTAACTTGAATACAACCTAAACAAACTGGCTGGTGGATAAATTAACATAATGCCAAGTTGAGGCAGCAGACTAGGCATAATAGAAAACACACTGTTATTTTACAGGGAGAATGTACAGTGTCAGTTCATTCAACAAGTTAGTTAAACACAACTCAACTAAAACAATGTCAATGAAAAGTAACAAATTCTGTGTTTGTTCCATGGACTTACAGCCAGTGAGTCCTGAGAAAGAAGAGATAATTTAAAGAGCTTCATTGGCAGGTGAATCTGGACTTGGCCTTTTAGCTTAGAGACTGAAGCTCCATATTAAAAGCAGGAGAAGGATAGAGAGGCATCCCACATGAAGAAAGAAATCAGAACAGACGTGCAGAGGCAAAAGTAGTCATGGTCTGCGTCCTGGCTCAGGAGGACAGTATGTGTTGAAGAGCAAAGCCTGGAATGGGCTGATGCCTGAAACCTGACGCCACCCCACCCATGTGCTTTATCTACTCACACTGTTTGCCCAGGAAATCTGGCACTCCACAATGAGAACAGGAACTGGGTGTCCCAGCTAATCTTCACTAATCTTCAGCTCGGTGGGTCCCATAGGGTTGTCATATTTGAAAAAAATAACAATAGGCTTTGATTAAAATACTTGGAGATGAAGCAGAATGCTCCTGCCAAAGCTTCCCTCAATTAACATAAGAGGAACAAGTTTATTTCCCAAGTTAATTATAGTATAATTTACCAGGTATCCAAATAAATGTGTTTAGAGGATAAGAGTTTTCCCCTCGAAAAATTCTTGACCGTAATTTTACATATAATTCTTTTATTCAACAAATGTTCAATGTATGTTTGTTTTATATCCAACACTTTTTAAGGAATTAGGAATACCATGGTGAATAACATAGACAACTTCTGCTAAATGCTTAGATGATGAAAGGCAAACAAATATATAAGAAAGAAAATAATTAAGAAATACAGTTTTATGCCTAATTATGTCAGGTGGTGGTAAGTGCTGTGTCCCCAAAACACTTACTGATTTTCTCAAACTATTATAAAACAGAGAAGGCGCATAAAGAGTTCTGGACATGGGACTGAAGATTCTGTTTTAAATATGGTTGCCAGGTACGTCCTTACTGTATAAGAACATTCTCCATCAAGGACTTGAAGGAGATGAGGGAAGTCATCAAGTGGATGTAAAAAATAACACTGCTAGTAATAGGACCAGCAAATGCAAAGACCAGAGGAGAAAGACATCTGCTTTGTTTAAGGGACAGCAAATAGGTCTCCCTGCTACAGCAGAGTGAATACCGTGGAAATGGTAGAAGAGTTTTTAGTTGTAAGGCAAGAAGAGGGACCAACCATAGAGAGTCTTAGATGTCATCGTGGAGATTTCTATGGAGGTGAAATGGAAGCTACAGAAGGCAATAGAGGCTGATATGGTTCACAGCTTTAATAGTCTGCTGTCTGCTGAGATAAGAATTGACTATAGGACAAAGAGTAGATCCAGGTAGTGAGATGTTATTGCAATCACCTAGGAAAAAGATAGGATGATTTGAGCTAGAGTTGTAGTGGAGAGAAGTGGTCATATTTTGAAAATATTTTTAAAGTAGAGTTGAGAGGATTTGGTGTTGAATTTGACATGGGATGTGAGTCAAATTTCAGAGCCTGAGCCAAACGTCCCTATTTAATTATGATTAATATAATGGAAAAGGTGGGGGGAAATGGATTAAGAAAAGAAAGAAGTTTGATGTGGGAAACAGGTGAAGAAACCAGTAGAGATGTTAGATATCTAAATCTGAGTTCGGGAGATTTGAATGCATAGAAAATTTGATCATTAGCATGGGGCTGGTATTTGAAGCCATGAGACTGGACAGGGTCATTTTAGTTTAGTGTATTTCCACATATTATATTTCAAGCATCATGCTAGATACTTTAACGTTTGGCCATTTTAAAAGCCCCTTGGTAAATTTCACAGGAATGAGGATTTGACTAACCTGTTGTTCTCAGATGTCTGACCTCAGTAGGATGCTTTATTTTATTGTATTTAATTCCCTATAAAATTCCAAAATATCAAAATAAGACCTATGCTTATTAGCAGGATTTTTCATGTACAATATTCCTACTCAGATAGGACTATATCACTTAATTTCACAGAAGTATCCTTCCCTGAGGTGATGATACTATTATATCACAATCATGAAGTCATGCTGACTTGTAGGCAACAATGGAGCTCACATTTTGATCTAAACTAATTTGCATGAATTACTTAAATTATGAAAATACACACTTTCAGAGAGCAGACAGATTTTACTCTGAGTTGTGTCAAACTATCACTTAATAGTTCTCAAGGGCTCAAGTGTGGTGAAACCAGATGCTAGTGTATGTGTTTCCTGTTCCCTTCCAATTTTTTTCATCATGGTTCATCAGCAAATGCTATGAAGTCTAATTAATATAACTAATGGATCTCTTGGCCATTGGACCATATATTTACATGAATTGCTCTGTGAAAGAGCTCTCTCTCATGCACTCTCTCTCGCTCGCGTGCGTGCTCTCTCTCTCACTCCTGCGCTCTCTCTTTTCCTCTCTCCACCCCCCCACCCTCCCCACCCCCTTCTCTTTCAAGAGCGGAACACTTTAGTGACCTCCATTTAACTGGCTGAACTAAGCAGCGATCTCTAAGGTAATAATGCACTGCTAAGAAACCTCAGCATAGACTATAATGCTACCACTAAAGCTTCTGTTCATGTTGTTCTAGGGCTCATAGAATGGAATATTGTAACCTAGCTCTGAGGAAGTTTGAGATTGTCTCATATTTTCTCGGTTAAACTAGAAAATAATTAATTATAGGGAAGGGACAAGAATTGCCCTGGCAGAGCCAGCCTGAGAAATAATTTCTGTTCATTCTCAATGTATTATCTGCTTTGTCCCTAGAGGCCCTCTTTTGTTACTCTTATATCAAAATCCTTTGGCCACTTAATTTTCCTGCCATGTCAACTCAAAAATCATACCTACAAAAGAGATTCAACTCTTTTCAACAAAAAGAGCTTCAACAGCTTCAACTCTTTTCAACAAAAGTTTTCAACTTTTTTCTTTTGCAAAAATATGTGCCAGCTATGAGATTGTAAGCTTTATAGTTATACATAGATGTTTTTATTTATAATCTTTCTCCTGCAAAACAGGATTAGAGAAAGTGAAGCAAAAAGAACATGTAATAAGATGAATAATGAATAGAAAAATAAATTGCTCTAAAGACAAAGGAAACTATAAAAGGTAGATGACTAGAACTGTTTAGCAAGAAGAGACCTCATTCTTTCCATCAAATAGTGTGGTGTAATTAGCACAATGCACCTAATGGTTAATGAATACATATTTGTTGAGGATATCATTAATAAACAACATGACCAATGAAAAACTAGTGAAAAAGATTTTTACTCTTCAGGAAGTAACTATTAGATAGGTATTGTACATTCCATCTTTAAAAGGTAGAGGAAAATATATATTGATCTGACCCATAAACGCAACGGGAAGACACAGAGTAACAATTATTGCCGGTGAATTTCAGCTCTCAGTCTATCTACCAACCTGTGTCACCAGGAACCTTCTTCAGACCCGTGCATCCAACTGCTTATTTATCTTTTGCACCTGGATATCCCTCAGGTACCTCCATTTAATTCATCTTCTTCCTCCAAACTGGTCAGCATCCAACCAGATCCAGAGAACTGTGAAGAGCTATTCTAGTCTCCACCCTTTCCCCTGTTGCTGATCCAGTTAAGAGGTCCAAAGAATGTAGTTGAGAGGACACCATCTCTGTATCTAGTAGCATTTAGTTTTAACCTCATCCCTTAACTTAAAATCGACATGGCCTTCAGTAAGCGATTTACCTCCTCTGAATATCAATTGATAAAATAAAAAAAATTCCAAAATTAATTGTATTGAGGATTAAAATATCATGTCTGGTATATCACAAGCTCTCAATAAACAGTTGTAGTATTGTTATTCAAATTGGTACACAGGCCTATCACTTCTCCTTCCTTTTAGATCTTTTTTTCCCTCTGTTCTCGCCTCTGAGTGCCCCAACCCAATCTCTCTTCCTCTGTCACCTTTTTAGGAAATCCATCCCCACCCAACTCACCCCACCACTCCTCACATTCCTTACATTCCTTTCTCTCCTACCCTGGCCTCCACCACAGCTCCTCCATCCCCACCTGTAATCCAGCCTCTACACGACTATCAGGGCTGTGGTTCTGAAAAGCAAATCTTATCATGTTGCACCTTACGACATCTTTGAATCACACCTACTTGTCTCATGATAAATTCTAAACTCTTCAGTTTTAGGCTGACCGTGACCATTTTTGGTCAGACCCTGTCCGTCTCGCCCTCCTAATTCTCATTTCTCTCTACCAAATACTCCACCCCTTGTTCTGAACAACGTGGTTCTGCTTTCATCTCTTCATACTTAAATTTTTTCCTAGACCCTTAACTTTGCTCACAATGTTCCTGCCATCTGGAATAGCATTTTCCCTGTTGGCCTAGAAAATTTGACTATTCCTTTGTGGTGGAATTCAGTCTTCACCTCCCCGTGAGTGACCTTCTTAGGACAAATTGACTGCATTTCATTTTGTAGTCTCACAGTTCATTAGGCAGTCTTCAAATGTCCAGTATGACAGTGCAAGATATTTGTTGTTTATATGCATATTTCCCCCACTGGCTTTGAGAAACTTGAGGGATTGTTGTAGCCATTTGTATCCCCAGTGTGTAGATGCATAGCATGCATCTATTTGTGTTTTGAATGAATGAGTGAATTAATGAATGATGAGAAAGCAATGACCTATGTTTTGTCTCTACCTCTTACATTATAAATAGACTGATTCAACTGAAGTTTCCAGTTCCTATTCCTTTTGCTGTTGTCATTGTATATGTTAGCAAAAAGCTTCATCCCTTTCAAAAATTTATTCTGTAATAGCAATAAATTCAGTGTCTTCTGGGAGCAACATTGTGCTCTCTCTCTCCCCGTTTTGCCTATTGCTACTTTGAAGAGTATGTGTTTATGACTTTATAGATTAATTTGTTAAAGTGCACGTAATAGGAGCCCTGCTATTTCTTCATAAGTGGTTATGAAAAAATATTCACACTTGCTTATGTTTTGTGAACATCTATATGTGGTGGAGCACATGTTATTATAATCTTATTTTAAGTGGAAATATAGATTTAAGGATTTTCTTTTACTGTTCTTAATGTAAAGCTTCTAAATTAGATATACATAAGCACTCATCTAGAAGATAATGGAAGCATAAGCAAAACACAGAAAAAGACTTGCCAAGAACAAATTATAACTAACAAACAAGTGTTAGTTTTATTGCAATACAATTACTGAATTAGTACATGATAGAACAAAAGATCTATAACAAGTTTAGATGTCAGTAATTTATCGGACACGGGTTGTATACATTGTACCTACAAAATTTTATCAAATAGTTTCTATTTCAAGAAATTTTCAGTTTATTCATGTTCAACACAAAAGTTAATTATACATGAAATATAAACTGAATGGAAAACACTGGCATTGTATTTCCTGGCTTTCTGGGAAGAATGTGGGAGTAGGGTTAATACTGAAATGCAAGACAAAGCTCTTTTCTCCTCTCCTTGTTCCCAGGATAGAACAAAATACACACGGCCAAGAATGAGGAAAGTAGGACAAAACCCAGTGTAGTCAAGAGAGTTATGACCCTGAGGTGTGAGGTAAGATCTGGCCCTGGGAGTGTTGACTGACACTGCAGTATTTAGTGTCTAGACTGGAATGATTAGATATGAAGTGGGTTAACTTGGGGTCTTTAGAGATGGCGCTATTCCCAGAAAGATAAATGAGATCCAGTCCTAGGACAAAAGGACAAGCATCATTGGTCAGAAAAAGAAAAAATGATTTAGAAAAAAAAGGAAAGAGAGAGAAAACGTAGAGGAGGAGAAGAAATCCCAAGGATGGAGACCAAAGGGTTTGCCAGACAGTCTGTTCCTTGGGAATGTGGGTTACATAGCAACCTGGAAGATGACGCTACTTCCAAGCCCAAGATTCTGTCTCCATGACTTAGCACACTAGTCATGAAGAAATAGAACACATCTTTCTCTTTCTAGATCTCATTCTCAGTTGAAGAACCGCTACTTATGGCCTGCTAGAGTGAAACTCATTTGTTCTAGGAATTAATGAAATTGGACCTGCTGGAGGCCTTTAATTATTATGTGGACATCAGAACTGATGAGGATTGATGTGGGTTATTTCAATAAAGTGTTATAAATAATTCATATATGAAAAATTTACTTTTTCTATTAATTTATAATTACATTAATATTGCATTTCAGTGTTGTTATTCAAACTAAAGACCATGTCAGTTCTTAGACACAATCTCTCACTGTGTATTAATCTGAATAAGACATTGTAGTAACCACATATATATATTACTTTTTGAGCTGTTTTAGGTTTCCAGGCAAAAATTAGTGAAAATTAAAGTGTGTGTCCAAAGACTCTCTCACTCCACCCCCATTTCTCCTATTTTTAACATCTCGTGGTATTTTTAACATTAGTATGTTACATTTGTTACAAGTGATGAGCCAATGTTGATAAATCATTTTTATCTGAAGTTCATAATTATATTAGGGTTCACTCTTTATGTTGTCCAGTATATGGATTTTAATAGATGTATAATAAGATGTACCCATCATGACAATATTACACAGAATAATAGTTTAACTGCCCTAAAAATCCCCTGTGCTCTACCTAGTTATTCCTCCTTTCTTTCCTCCCCAGGGGCCCCTCGAAATGACTGATCTTCTTACTGTCTGCACAGTTTTGCCTTTTTCAAAATGTCATATACTTGAAATCACATAGTATATAGGCTTTCATATTGGCTTCTTTCACTCAGTATTATGCATTTAAGGTTCTTCCATGCCTTTTTATGGCTTTCTTTCTCTTTTTTATTTTTTATTTTTTTTGTTTTTGTTTTTGAGACGGAGTCTTGCTCTGTCACCCAGGGTGGAGCGCAGTGGCACGATCTCAGCTCACTACAACCTCCACCTCCTGGGCTCAAGGGATTTTCCTGTCTCAGCCTCCTGAGCAGCTGGGACTACAGGCGTGCATCACCATGCCCAGCTAATTTTTGTATTTTTAGTAGAGACAGGATTTCACCATATTGGCCAGGCAGGTCTCGAACTCCTGACCTCGCGATCCACCCACCTCAGCTTCCCAAAGTGCTGGGATTACAGGCATGAGCCACCACACCCAGCCGGCTCTCTTTTTTTATATAGCACTGAATAATATTCCATTGTATGGCTACACCATAGAGTGTTTGTCTATTTGCCTATTGAAATGTACCTTGGTTGTTTCTCTTTTGGTAATTATGAATAACACTAGCATAAACACTTTTCTGCATGTTTTGTGGGGCATAAGTTTTCAACTCTTTTGGCAAATACCAAGGAGCATAATTAAGGAATCATATACTAAGAGTGTGCTTAGTGTCATAAGAAACTGCTAAACTGTCTTCCAAAGTGGATATACCATTTCGCATCCCCACTAGCAATGAATAAGAATTATTTCTGCTCATTGTTTTACCAGCACTCAGTAGTATTGGTATTTTGGATTTTGGCCATTATAATAGGTATGTAGTAGCAAATCATTGTTTTAGTTTGCAATTTTCTAATGACATATGATGTTGAGCATCTTTTCATGTGCTTATTTACCATTAGTAGTATGCTGCCATCAGTAATTTTCCTTTCCCTTTCCATTGCCAGTGAGATCCAGTAGTTCTATTTATTTATTTATTTATTTGAGATGTAGTCTCACTCTGTCACCCATGCTAGAGTGCAGTGGTGCAATCTCAGCTCAACTGCAACCTCCATCTCACGGGTTCAAGCAATTCTCCCTGCCTCAGCCTCCTGAGTAGCTGTGATTACAGGCACCCACCACCATGCCCAGCTGATTTTTGTATTTTTTTAGTAGAGAAGGGGTTTTGCCACGCTGGCCAGGCTAATCTTGAACTCCTGACCTTGGGTGATCCACCCTCCTCAGCCTCCCAAAGTACTAGGATTACAGGCATGAGCCACTGTAGCCAGCCAGATCTAATATTTCTTAATGGAAACTAAAACTTCACCTGTTACCACATTTTTCCACATATATTTGTAATAAGTTCTGATGTCTGATAAGGCAAGTCTGACCCTCTGCATTTTAAAAAAATAATCAAGTTATTTATGAAAAATTATGCTCATTTTTTTTTTTTTTAATTTTTTTTTTTTTTATTATACTCTAAGTTTTAGGGTACATGTGCACATTGTGCAGGTTAGTTACATATGTATACATGTGCCATGCTGGTGCGCTGCACCCACTAACATGTCATCTAGCATTAGGTATATCTCCCAATGCTATCCCTCCCCCCTCCCCCGACCCCACCACAGTCCCCAGAGTGTGATATTCCCCTTCCTGTGTCCAAGTGATCTCATTGTTCAGTTCCCACCTATGAGTGAGAATATGCGGTGTTTGGTTTTTTGTTCTTGCGATAGTTTACTGAGAATGATGGTTTCCAATTTCATCCATGTCCCTACAAAGGACATGAACTCATCATTTTTTATGGCTGCATAGTATTCCATGGTGTATATGTGCCACATTTTCTTAATCCAGTCTATCATTGTTGGACATTTGGGTTGGTTCCAAGTCTTTGCTATTGTGAATAATGCCGCAATAAACATACGTGTGCATGTGTCTTTATAGCAGCATGATTTATAGTCCTTTGGGTATATACCCAGTAATGGGATGGCTGGGTCAAATGGTATTTCTAGTTCTAGATCCCTGAGGAATCGCCACACTGACTTCCACAATGGTTGAACTAGTTTACAGTCCCACCAACAGTGTAAAAGTGTTCCTATTTCTCCACATCCTCTCCAGCACCTGTTGTTTCCTGACTTTTTAATGATTACCATTCTAACTGGTGTGAGATGATATCTCATAGTGGTTTTGATTTGCATTTCTCTGACGGCCAGTGATGATGAGCATTTCTTCATGTGTTTTTTGGCTGCATAAATGTCTTCTTTTGAGAAGTGTCTGTTCATGTCCTTCGCCCACTTTTTGATGGGGTTGTTTGTTTTTTTCTTGTAAATTTGTTTGAGTTCATTGTAGATTCTGGATATTAGCCCTTTGTCAGATGAGTAGGTTGCGAAAATTTTCTCCCATGTTGTAGGTTGCCTGTTCACTCTGATGGTAGTTTCTTTTGCTGTGCAGAAGCTCTTTAGTTTAATTAGATCCCATTTGTCAATTTTGGCTTTTGTTGCCATTGCTTTTGGTGTTTTGGACATGAAGTCCTTGCCCACGCCTATGTCCTGAATGGTAATGCCTAGGTTTTCTTCTAGGGTTTTTATGGTTTTAGGTCTAACGTTTAAATCTTTAATCCATCTTGAATTGATTTTTGTATAAGGTGTAAGGAAGGGATCCAGTTTCAGCTTTCTACATATGGCTAGCCAGTTTTCCCAGCACCATTTATTAAATAGGGAATCCTTTCCCCATTGCTTGTTTTTCTCAGGTTTGTCAAAGATCAGATAGTTGTAGATATGTGGCATTATTTCTGAGGGCTCTGTTCTGTTCCATTGATCTATATCTCTGTTTTGGTACCAGTACCATGCTGTTTTGGTTACTGTAGCCTTGTAGTATAGTTTGAAGTCAGGTAGTGTGATGCCTCCAGCTTTGTTCTTTTGGCTTAGGATTGACTTGGCGATGCGGGCTCTTTTTTGGTTCCATATGAACTTTAAAGTACTTTTTTCCAATTCTGTGAAGAAAGTCATTGGTAGCTTGATGGGGATGGCATTGAATCTGTAAATTACCTTGGGCAGTATGGCCATTTTCACGATATTGATTCTTCCTACCCATGAGCATGGAATGTTCTTCCATTTGTTTGTGTCCTCTTTTATTTCCTTGAGCAGTGGTTTGTAGTTCTCCTTGAAGAGGTCCTTCACATCCCTTGTAAGTTGGATTCCTAGGTATTTTATTCTCTTTGAAGCAATTGTGAATGGGAGTTCACTCATGATTTGGCTCTCTGTTTGTCTGTTGTTGGTGTATAAGAATGCTTGTGATTTTTGTACATTGATTTTGTATCCTGAGACTTTGCTGAAGTTGCTTATCAGCTTAAGGAGATTTTGGGCTGAGACAATGGGGTTTTCTAGATAAACAATCATGTCGTCTGCAAACAGGGACAATTTGACTTCCTCTTTTCCTAATTGAATACCCTTTATTTCCTTCTCCTGCCTGATTGCCCTGGCCAGAACTTCCAACACTATGTTGAATAGGAGCGGTGAGAGAGGGCATCCCTGTCTTGTGCCAGTTTTCAAAGGGAATGCTTCCAGTTTTTGCCCATTCAGTATGATATTGGCTGTGGGTTTGTCATAGATAGCTCTTATTATTTTGAAATACGTCCCATCAATACCTAATTTATTGAGAGTTTTTAGCATGAAGGGTTGTTGAATTTTGTCAAAGGCTTTTTCTGCATCTATTGAGATAATCATGTGGTTTTTGTCTTTGGCTCTGTTTATATGCTGGATTACATTTATTGATTTGCGTATATTGAACCAGCCTTGCATCCCAGGGATGAAGCCCACTTGATCATGGTGGATAAGCTTTTTGATGTGCTGCTGGATTCGGTTTGCCAGTATTTTATTGAGGATTTTTGCATCAATGTTCATCAAGGATATTGGTCTAAAATTCTCTTTTTTGGTTGTGTCTCTGCCCTGCTTTGGTATCAGAATGATGCTGGGCTCATAAAATGAGTTAGGGAGGATTCCCTCTTTTTCTATTGATTGGAATAGTTTCAGAAGGAATGGTACCAGTTCCTCCTTGTACCTCTGGTAGAATTCGGCTGTGAATCCATCTGGTCCTGGACTCTTTTTGGTTGGTAAACTATTGATTATTGCCACAATTTCAGAGCCTGTTATTGGTCTATTCAGAGATTCAACTTCTTCCTGGTTTAGTCTTGGGAGAGTGTATGGGTCGAGGAATGTATCCATTTCTTCTAGATTTTCTAGTTTATTTGCGTAGAGGTGTTTGTAGTATTCTCTGATGGTAGTTTGTATTTCTGTGGGATCGGTGGTGATATCCCCTTTATCATTTTTTATTGTGTCTATTTGATTCTTCTCTCTTTTTTTCTTTATTAGTCTTGCTAGCGGTCTATCAATTTTGTTGATCCTTTCAAAAAACCAGCTCCTGGATTCATTGATTTTTTGAAGGGTTTTTTGTGTCTCTATTTCCTTCAGTTCTGCTCTGATTTTAGTTATTTCTTGCTTTCTGCTAGCTTTTGAATGTGTTTGCTCTTGCTTTTCTAGTTCTTTTAATTGTGATGTTAGGGTGTCAATTTTGGATCTTTCCTGCTTTCTCTTGTAGGCATTTAGTGCTATAAATTTCCCTCTACACACTGCTTTGAATGCGTCCCAGAGATTCTGGTATGTGGTGTCTTTGTTCTCGTTGGTTTCAAAGAACATCTTTATTTCTGCCTTCATTTCGTTATGTACCCAGTAGTCATTCAGGAGCAGGTTGTTCAGTTTCCATGTAGTTGAGCGGCTTTGAGTGAGATTCTTAATCCTGAGTTCTAGTTTGATTGCACTGTGGTCTGAGAGATAGTTTGTTATAATTTCTGTTCTTTTACATTTGCTGAGGAGAGCTTTACTTCCAACTATGTGGTCAATTTTGGAATAGGTGTGGTGTGGTGCTGAAAAAAATGTATATTCTGTTGATTTGGGGTGGAGAGTTCTGTAGATGTCTATTAGGTCTGCTTGGTGCAGAGCTGAGTTCAATTCCTGGGTATCCTTGTTGACTTTCTGTCTCGTTGATCTGTCTAATGTTGACAGTGGGGTGTTAAAGTCTCCCATTATTAATGTGTGGGAGTCTAAGTCTCTTTGTAGGTCACTCAGAACTTGCTTTATGAATCTGGGTGCTCCTGTATTGGGTGCATAAATATTTAGGATAGTTAGCTCCTCTTGTTGAATTGATCCCTTTACCATTATGTAATGGCCTTCTTTGTCTCTTTTGATCTTTGTTGGTTTAAAGTCTGTTTTATCAGAGACTAGGATTGCAACCCCTGCCTTTTTTTGTTTTCCATTGGCTTGGTAGATCTTCCTCCATCCTTTTATTTTGAGCCTATGTGTGTCTCTGCACGT
Source organism: Homo sapiens (assembly GCF_000001405.40). Taxonomy (NCBI): domain Eukaryota; kingdom Metazoa; phylum Chordata; class Mammalia; order Primates; family Hominidae; genus Homo; species Homo sapiens. The sequence goes on from NC_000013.11 coordinate 92,689,470, forward strand.
GAGATGGGTTTCCTGAATACAGCACACTGATGGGTCTTGGCTCTTTATCCAACTTGCCAGTCTGTGTCTTTTAATTGCAGAATTTAGTCCATTTATATTTAAAGTTAATATTGTTATGTGTGAATTTGATCCTGTCATTATGATGTTAGCTGGTGATTTTGCTCATTAGTTGATGCAGTTTCTTCCTAGTCTCGATGGTCTTTACATTTTGGCATGATTTTGCAGCGGCTGGTACCGGTTGTTCCTTTCCATGTTTAGCGCTTCCTTCAGGAGCTCTTTTAGGGCAGGCCTGGTGGTGACAAAATCTCTCAGCATTTGCTTGTCTATAAAGTATTTTATTTCTCCTTCACTTATGAAGCTTAGTTTGGCTGGATATGAAATTCTGGGTTGAAAATTCTTTTGTTTAAGAATGTTGAATATTGGCCCCCACTCTCTTCTGGCTTGTAGGGTTTCTGCCGAGAGATCCGCTGTTAGTCTGATGGGCTTTCCTTTGAGGGTAACCCGACCTTTCTCTCTGGCTGCCCTTAACATTTTTTCCTTCATTTCAACTTTGGTGAATCTGACAATTATGTGTCTTGGAGTTGCTCTTCTCGAGGAGTATCTTTGTGGCGTTCTCTGTATTTCCTGAATCTGAACGTTGGCCTGCCTTGCTAGATTGGGGAAGTTCTCCTGGATAATATCCTGCAGAGTGTTTTCCAACTTGGTTCCATTCTCCACATCACTTTCAGGTACACCAATCAGACGTAGATTTGGTCTTTTCACATAGTCCCATATTTCTTGGAGGCTTTGCTCATTTCTTTTTATTCTTTTTTCTCTAAACTTCCCTTCTCGCTTCATTTCATTCATTTCATCTTCCATTGTTGATACCCTTTCCTCCAGTTGATCGCATCAGCTCCTGAGGCTTCTGCATTCTTCACGTAGTTCTCGAGCCTTGGTTTTCAGCTCCATCAGCTCCTTTAAGCACTTCTCTGTATTGGTTATTCTAGTTATACATTCTTCTAAATTTTTTTCAAAGTTTTCAACTTCTTTGCCTTTGGTTTGAATGTCCTCCCGTAGCTCAGAGTAATTTGATCGTCTGAAGCCTTCTTCTCTCAGCTCGTCAAAATAATTCTCCATCCAGCTTTGTTCTGTTGCTGGTGAGGAACTGCGTTCCTTTGGAGGAGGAGAGGCGCTCTGCGTTTTACAGTTTCCAGTTTTTCTGTTCTGTTTTTTCCCCATCTTTGTGGTTTTATCTACTTTTGGTCTTTGATGATGGTGATGTACAGATGGGTTTTTGGTGTAGATGTCCTTTCTGGTTGTTAGTTTTCCTTCTAACAGACAGGACCCTCAGCTGCAGGTCTGTTGGAATACCCTGCCGTGTGAGGTGTCAGTGTGCCCCTGCTGGGGGGTGCCTCCCAGTTAGGCTGCTCAGGGGTCAGGGGTCAGGGACCCACTTGAGGAGGCAGTCTGCCCATTCTCAGATCTCCAGCTGAGTGCTGGGAGAACCACTGCTCTCTTCAAAGCTGTCAGACAGGGACACTTAAGTCTGCAGAGGTTACTGCTGTCTTTTTGTTTGTCTGTGCCCTGCCCCCAGAGGTGGAGCCTACAGAGGCAGGCAGGCCTCCTTGAGCTGTGGTGGGCTCCACCCAGTTCGAGCTTCCAGGCTGCTTTGTTTACCTAAGCAAGCCTGGGCAATGGCGGGTGCCCCTCCCCCAGCCTCGTTGCCGCCTTGCAGTTTGATCTCAGACTGCTGTGCTAGCAATCAGCGAGATTCCGTGGGCTAGGACCCTCTGAGCCAGGTGTGGGATATAGTCTCATGGTGCGCCGTTTCTTAAGCCGGTCTGAAAAGCGCAATATTCGGGTGGGAGTGACCCGATTTTCCAGGTGCGTCCGTCACCCCTTTCTTTGACTCGGAAAGGGAACTCCCTGACCCCTTGCGCTTCCCAGGTGAGGCAATGCCTCGCCCTGCTTCGGCTCGCGCACGGTGCGCACACACACTGGCCTGCGCCCACTGTCTGGCACTCCCTAGTGAGATGAACCCGGTACCTCAGATGGAAATGCAGAAATCACCCGTCTTCTGCGTCGCTCACGCTGGGAGCTGTAGACCGGAGCTGTTCCTATTCGGCCATCTTGGCTCCTCCCTCAATTATGCTCATTTTAGAATCAAATATTTTATTAAAATCAATGACCATATTAGATTTATTGGAAAAATAATGTAATTTAATATTAAATTATCACATTCATTAACATGACATAATTCTCCACTTATTTGGATTTCCTTTAAGATCAATTCCTAAAATTTTCTATATAGATGGTTTTAGGGTTTTTTTTTTTTATACCTTAAACTACAAGATACTTTATAGTGTCCCAATTTTTATTACAGTTTTACACCTTCAATTCAATTATTGCTGATATGGAAAAACTTTTTATCAATATCTATTTTAGATTTAGTGGGTACATATACAGGTTTTTTACATGGGATACTGCTTGATGCTGAGGTTTGGAGTACAAATATTTCCATTAACCAGATGGTGAGCATAATATGGAACAGTTAATTTTTCAACCCTTGTCCCTCTCCTTCCCTCCCCCATCTAATAGTCTTCAGTGTCTATTGTTCCCACCTTTATATCCATGTGTACCCTATGTTTAGCTCCCACTTACAAATGAGAAATTACTGTATTTATCTATCTGTTTCTGAGTTAGTTCACTTAGGATAATGGTCTCCAGCTACATCCATGTTGCTGCAAAGAACATGACTTCATTTTTTTTATGGCTGCATAGTATTACATGGTGTACCTACACCACATTTTCTTGATCCAGTTCACCGATGAGGGACACCTGAGTTGATTCCCTTTCTTTGCTATTGTGAATAGTGCTGCAATGAATATACAGGTGCAAATGTCTTTTGGTAAAATGACTTATTTTCTTTTAGATATATACCCAGTAATGTGATTGCTGGGTCAAATGGTAATTCAGCTCTTATTTCTTTGAGAAATCTCCAAACTGCTCTCCACAGTAGCTGAACTAATTTACATTCCCATCACACACAGGAAGGGGAACATCACACTCTGGGGACTGTTGTGGGGTGGGGGGAGGGGGGAGGGATAGCATTGGGAGATATACCTAATGCTAGATGATGAGTTAGTGGGTGCAGTACACCAGCATGGCACATGTATACATGTGTAACTAACCTGCACATTGTGCACATGTACCCTAAAACTTAAAGTATAATAATAAATTAAAAAAAACAAAACAAAACAGTGTACGTGTGTTCCCTTTCCTCCAAAGCCTCACCAATATCGGCTATTTTTTTTTTTTTTTTTTTTTTACATTTTACCAAAAGCCACTCTGACTGGTGGAGGATATCTCACTGTGGTTTGGATTTGCATTTTTTTGCTGATTAGTGATTATAAGCACTAATATGGTTTGGCTCTGCGTCCCCACCCAAATCTCATCTCAAATTGTAATACCCAGGTATTGAGGGAGAGACCTGGTGGGAGGTGATTAAATCATGGGGGTGGTTTCCCTCATACTATTCTCATGACAATGAGTGGGTTCTAATAATATCTGATGGTTAAAAAGTGTTTGGCAGTTCCTAGCTCTCTCTCTGTCCTGCTGTCATGTAAGACATGGGCCTTGATTCCCCTTCACCTTCCACCATGATTGTAAGTTTCCTGAGGCCTTCCCAGCCATACAGGACTATGAACCAATTAAACCTTTTTCCTTTTAAAATTGCCCAGTCTCAGGTAGTTCTTTATAGCAATGTGAAATGGACTAATATAGGAAATGGGTACCAGGAGTGTGGCACTGCTATAAAGTTAACCTGAAAATGTGGAGGCGACATTGGAACTGGGTAATGGACAGAGGTTGGAACAGTTTAGAAGGCTCATAATAAGATAGGAGGATGTGGGAAAATTTCGAACTTCCTAGAGACTTGTTGGATGGTTTTGACTAACATGCTGATAGTAATATGAAAAGTGAAGTTCAGGCTGAGGTGGTCTCAGGTGGAGATAAGTAACTTACTGGAAACTGGAGTAAAGGTCACTCTTGCTATGCTTTAGAAAAGAGACTGGTGACATTTTGCTCTTCCCTAGAGATCTATGGAAATTTGGACTTGAGAGAGATAATTTAGGGCATCTGGTGGAAGAAATTTCTAAGCAGCAAAGTATTCAAGCGGTGACCTGGCTGATTCTGAGAGCATTCAGTCATACATGTTCGCAAAGAGAGTATCTGAAACTGAAACTTTTATTTAAAAGGGAAGAGAGCATAAAAGTTTGGAAAATTTACAGCCTGACCATGAGGTAGAAAATAAAAACCCATTTTCTGGGGAGAAATTCAATCCACCTGCACAAATTTGCATAAGTAAATGAGGAGCCAAATGTTAATAGCCAAGACAATGGAGAAAATGTCTCCAGGGCATGTCGAGATCTTCACGACAGCCCCTTCCATCACTGGTTCAGAGGCCTTGAAGGGAAAAATGATTTCATGGGTCAGGCCCAGGGCCCTGCTACTCTGTGCAGACTCAGGACTTGGTGCCCTGCAACCCAGCAGCTCCAGCTGCAGATATAGCTAAAAGGGGCCCAGGTGCAACTGGGGCTGTTGCTTCAGAGTGTGCAAGACCCAAACCTTGGTGGCTTCCATGTGGGGTTGGGCCTGCAGGTATGCAGAAGACAAGGGAGCACAATGCCTAGATTTCAAAGGATGTATGGAAATGCCTGGATGTCCAGGCAGAAGTCTGCTGCAGAGGCAGGGCCCTCATGGAGAACCTCTACTAGGGCAATGAAGAGGAAAAATGTGTAGGTTGTTTCTCCTAAACAGAGATACCACTAGGGCACTGCCTAGTGGAGCTGTGAGAAAGGGGCCACCATCCTCCAGACCCCACCAACAGCTTGCACATGCACCTGGAAAAGCCTCAGGTGCTCATTGCCAGCCTGTGAAAGCAGCTGCAGGGGCTGTACTCTGCAGAGCCACAGGGGAGGAGCTGCCCAAGGGCTTGGGAACCTAGTGTTTGCATTAGCATCCCTTGATGCAAGACATAGACTCAAAGGAGATTATTTCAAAGCTTTAAGATTTAATGACTGCCTCTCTGTATTTTGGATTTGCATGGGCCTGTCATCCCTTTACTTTGGCCAATTTCTCCAATTTGCAATGAGAATATTTACCCGGTGCCTGTACCCACATTGCATCCTAGAAGTAACTAATTTGTGTTTGATTTTAAAGGCTCATAGATGAAAGTGACTTCCCTCATCTCAGAGGAGACTTTGGACTTAGACTTTTGGGTTAATGCTGCAGTGAGTTAAAACTTTGGGGGATTCTTGGGAAGACATGATTGTGTTTTGAAATGTGAAAATGACCTGAGATTTCAGAGGGGGGCATGGGCAGAATGATATGGTTTGGCTCTGTGTCCCCACTCAAATTCCATCTCCTACTGTAATCCCCACGTGTTGAGGGAGAGACTAGGAGGGAGGTGATTAGATCGGTGTAGGGTGGGGTCCCCCATGTTGTTCTTGTGATAGTGAGTTCTTATTGTTTAAAAGTGTTTGACAGTTCCTACGTCACTCTCTCTCTCCTGCTTCTATGTAAGAAGTGCGTTGCTTCCCCTTCACCTTCTGCCATAATGTAAGTCTCATGAGGCCTCCCTAGCCATGCAGAACTGTGAGTCAATTAAACCTCTTTCCTTTATAAATTATCCAAACTCAGGCAGTTCTTTATATCTGTGTGAAAAGGGACGACTACAAGCAGTTTTTCATGCTTGTTGGCCACTTGTATGTCTTCTTTTGATAACTGTTTGTTCATATTTTTTGCTCACTTTTTAATGGGGTTATTTGGCTTTTGATTGTTAATTTAAGTTCCTTATAGATTCTAGATATTAGACCTTGCATAGTTTGCAGATATTCATTTTGAATATTTGTGTGTGTGGTTGTTCATCACTTATTAACACCCTTGTAAAATTTGCTTATAAGTCCTGATGGCATTGTGTTTATTTGATTAGCCTTTTCTATGGGTGATAACAGCATCTCCAAAAGGTAATAGATTGTATTTCCTTCCAAGTATTTATATCTGTTTTTTTTTCATCTTGTGAAATTTGCCAAGCTCTCCAATACTATGCCCAGAAGAAGTGATATTGATGATCATCGTATCTTTTCCCTTAATTAAAGGGAATGCCCTAAAATAATTATATTAGTACATACAACAGACTTTTGGTAGGACTTATGAAGTTGAAGAAGTTCTCTTGTATTAAAAATTTTATGAGTTTTTTTTTTTTTTAGTTATTATAAGTTCTGGGGTACATGTGCAGAAAGTGCAGGTTTGTTACATAGGTATACATGTGCCATGGTTGTTTGTGGCACCTATCAACCCATCATCTACATTAGGTATTTCTCCTGTTATTATCCCTCCCCTAGTCCCCCATCCCATGACAGGCCCCGGTGTGTGGTGTTCCCCTCCCTGTGACCATGTGTTCTCATTGTCCAACTACCTATGAGTGAGAACATGCTGTGTTTGGTTTTTTGTTCCTGTGTTAGTTTGCTGAGAATGACAGTTTCCAGCCTCATCCACGTCCCTGAAAAGGACATGAACTCATCCTTTTTTATGGCTGCATAGTATTCCATGGTGTATATGTGCCACCTTTCTTTATCCAGTCTATCGTTGATGGGCATTTGGGTTGGTTCCAAGTCTTTGCTATTGTGAACAGTGCCACAATTAACATACGTGTGCATGTGTCTTTACAGCAGCATGATTTATAATCCTTTGGGTATATACTCAGTAATGGGATTGCTTGGTGAAATGGCATTTCTAGTTCTAGATCCTTGAGGAATCATCCCACTGTCTTCCACAATGGTGCAATAATTTACACTCCCACTAACAGTGTAAAAGCATTCTTATTTCTCCACATCCTCTCCAGCATCTGTTGTTTCCTGACTTTTTAATGACCGCCATTCTAACTGGCATGAGATGGTATCTCACTGTGGTTTTGATTTGCATTTCTCTAATGACCAGTGATGATTAGCTTTTTTAAATATGTTAGTTGGCTGCATATATGTCTTCTTTTGAGAAGCATCTGTTCATAGCCTTCGCCCACTTTTTGATGGGGTTGTTTGTTTTTTTCTTGTAAATTTGTGTAAGTTATTTGTAGATCCTGGATATTAGCCCTTTGTCAGTTGGATAGATTGCAAAAATTTTCTCCCATTCTGTAGGTTGCCTGTTCATTCTGATGAAAGTTTCTTTTGCTGTGAAGAAGCTCTTCAGTGTAATAAGATCCCATTTATCAATTTTGGCTTTTGTTGCCCTTGCTTTTGGTGTTTTAGTCATGAAGTCTTTGCCCATGCCTACATCTTGAATGGTATTGCCTATGTTTTATTCTGGGGTTTTTATGGTTTTAGGTCTTATGTTTAAGTCTTCAATCCATCTTGAGTCAATTTCTGTATGAGGCATAAGGAAGGGATCCAGTTTCAGCTTTCTGCATATGGCTAGCCAGTTTTCCCAACACCATTTATTAAATAGGGAATCCTTTCCCCATTGCTTGTTTTTGTCAAGTTTGTCAAAGATCTGATGGTTGTAGATGTGTGGCATGATTTCTGAGGCCTCTGTTCTGTTCCATTGGTCTATATATCTGTTTTGGTAGCAGTACCATGCTGTTTTGGTTACTGTAGCCTTGTAGCATAGTTTGAAGTCAGGTAGCGTGATGCCTCCAGCTTTGTTCTTTTTGCTTAGGGTTGTCTTGGCTATGTGGGCTCTTTTTTGGTTCCATATGAAATTTAAAGTAATTTTTTCCAATTCTGTGAAGAAAGTCAATGGTAGTTTGATGGGGATAGCATTGAATCTATAAATTAATTTGGGCAGTACAGCCATTTTCACGATATTGATTCTTCCTATCCATGAGCACGGAATGTTTTTCCATTTATCTGTGTCCTCTCTTATTTCCTTGTGCAGTGGTTTGTAGTTCTCCTTGAAGAGGTACTTCACAACCCTTGTAAATTGTATTCCTAGGTATTTTATTCTCTTTTTAGCAATTGTTAATGGGATTTCACTCATGACTTGGCTATTTGTCTGCTCTTAGTGTATAGGAATGCTTGTGATTTTTGCACATTGATTGTCTATCCTGAGACTTTGCTGAAGTTGTTTATCAGCTTAAGGAGATTTTGGGCTGAGACGAAAGGGTTTTCTAAATATACAATCATGTCATCTGCAAACAGAGACAATTTGAGTTCCTCTTTTCCTAATTTGAATACCCTTTATTTATTTCTCTTACCTGATTGCCCTGGCCAGAGCTTCCAACACTATGTTGAATAGGAGTGGTGAGAGAGGGCATCCTTGTCTTGTGCCAGTTTTCAAAGGGAATGCTTCCAGTTTTTGCCCATTCAGTATGATACTGGATGTGGGTTTGTCATAAATAGCTCTTATTATTTTGAGAGACATTCCATCAATACCTAGTTTATTGAGAGTTTTTAGCATGAAAGGCTGTTGAATTTTGTCTAAGGCCTTTACTGTATCTATTGAGATAATCATGTGGTTTTTGTCACTGGTTCTGTTTATGTGATGATGGATTACGTTTATTGATTTGTGTATGTTGAACCAGTCTTGCATCCCAGGGACGAAGCTGACTTGATCATGGTGGATAAGCTTTTTGATGTGCTGCTGGAATTGGCTTGCCAGTATTTTATTGAGGACTTTCACATCGATGTTCATCAGGGATATTGGCCTGAAATTTTCTTTTTTTCTTTTTTTTTAATTATACTTTAAGATTTAGGGTACATGTGCACAACGTGCACGTTAGTTACATATGTATACATGTGCCATGTTGGTGTGCTGCACCCATTAACTCAACATTTAACATTAGGTGTATCTCCTAATGCTATCCCGCCCCTCTCTCCCCACCCCACAACAGGCACTGGTGTGTGATGTTCCCCTTCCTGTGTCCATGTGTTCTCATTGTTCAATTCCCACCTATGAGTGAGAACATGCAGTGTTTGGTTTTTTGTCCTTGCGATAGTTTGCTGAGAATGATGGTTTCCAGCTTCATCCATGTCCCTACAAAGGACATGAACTCATCATTTTTTATGGCTGCATAGTATTCCATGATGTATATGTGCCACATTTTCTTAATCCAGTCTATCATTTTGAACATTCGGGTTGGTTCCAAGTCTTTGCTATTGTGAACAGTGCCGCAATAAACATATGTGTGCATGTGTCTTTATAGCAGCATGATTTATAATCCTTTGGGTTTATACCCAGTAATGGGATTGCTGGGTCAAATGGTATTTCTAGTTCTAGATCCCTGAGGAAGCACCACACCGACTTCCACAATGGTTGAACTAGTTTACAGTCCCACCAACAGTGTAAAAGTGTTCCTGTTTCTCCACATCCTCTCCAGCACCTGTTGTTTCCTGACTTTTTAATGATCGCCATTCTAACTGGTGTGAGATAGTATCTCATTGTGGTTTTGATTTTCTTTTTTATTGTGTCTCTGCCAGGTTTTGGTATCAGGATGATGCTGGTCTCATCAAATGAGTTAGGGATAGCTGTTGTTTAGAATAGTTTCAGAAGAAATGGTACCAGCTCGTTTTTGTACCTCTGGTAGCATTTGGCTGTGAATCCGTCTGGTCCTAGACTTTTTTTTTGGTTGGTAGGCTATTAATTGCTGCCTCAATTTCAGAACTTGTTACTGGTCTATTCAGGGATTCGACTTCTTCCTGGTTTAGTCTTGGGAGGGTGTATATGTCCAGGAACTTATCCATTTCTTCTAGATTTTCTAGTTTATTTGCATAGAAGTGTTTATAGTATTCTATGATGCTAGTTTTTATTTCTGTTGGATTGGTGTTGATATCCCCTTTATCATTTTTTATTCCATCTATTAGATTCTTCTATCTTTTCTTCTTTATAAGTCTGGCTAGTGGTCTATCAATTGTGTTGATCTTTTCAGAAATCCTGTTCCTGGATTCATTGAGTTTTTGAAGGGTTTTTTGTGTCTCTCTCTCTTTCAGTTCTGTTCTGATCTTACTTATTTCTTGACTTCTGCTAGCTTTTGAATTTGTTTGTTCCTGCTTCTCTAGTTCTTTTAAATGTGATGTTAGGGTGGCGATTTTAGATCTTTCCTGCTTTCTCTTGTGGGCATTTAGTACTATAAATTTCCCTCTACATACTGCTTTAAATGTGTCCCAAAGATTGTGGTACGTTGTGTCTTTGTTCTTGTTGGTCTCAAAGAACATCTTTATTTCTGCCTTCATTTCGTTATTTTCCCAGTAGTCATTCAGGAGCAGGTTGTTCAGTTTCCATGTAGTTGTGCAATTTTGAGTGAGTTTCTTAATCCTGAGTTCTAATTTGATTGCACTGTGGTCTGATAGACAGTTTGTTATGATTTCCGTTCTTTTGCATTTGCTGAGAAGTGTTTTACTTCCAATGATGTGGTCAACTTTAGAATAAGTGCAGTGTGGTGCTGAGAAGAATGTATATTCTGTTGATTTGGAGTGGAGAGATCTGTAGATGTCTATTAGGTCCACTTGTTCCAGAGATGAGTTCAAATCCTGGATATCCTTGTTAATATTCTGACTTGTTGATCTGTCTAATATTGACAGTGGTGTCTTAAAGTCTCCCACTATTATTGTGTGGGAGTCTAAGTATCTTTGTAGGTTTCTAAGAACTTGCTTTATGAATCTGGGTGCTCTTGTATTGGGTGCATATATTTTGGATAGTTAATTCTTCTTGTTGCATTGATCTCTTTACCATTATGTAATGCCCTTATTTGTCTCTTTTGAACTTTGTTGGTTTGAAGTCTGTTTTATCAGAGACTGGGATTGCAACCCCTGCATTTTTTTTTTTTTTTTTTTTGGCTTTCCATTTGCTTGGTAAATATTCCTCCATCCCTTTATTTTGAGCCTATGTGTGTCTTTGCACATGAGATGGGTCTCCTGCATACAGCACTCTGATGGGTCTTGATTCTTTATTCAATTTGCCAGTCTGTGTCTTTTAATTGGGGCAATTAGCCCATTTACATTTAAGGTTAATAGTGTTAGGTATGCATTTAATCCTGCCATTATGAAGCCTAGCTGATTATTTTGCCCACTAGTTGATGCAGTTTCTTCATAGCATCAATGTTCTTTACAATTTGGTATGAGTTTTTAACAAATAAATACTGGACTTTTTCAAATGTGTTTCTGCTTCTATTGCAATGCTGCCTAAATTTTCTCTTGAAGTCAAGTCTATGAATGTGTTGAATTAACTTGTTACATTTTCTTATGTTGAACCATCTATTTAGCATACATTTATGACCATAGCTTGTCTCCAGCTTTTCTCTGAGGTTACCCTGCCACATTTGACAGATGTGTTTTCTTGCCTCATGATAGAAAATGAGGAGAAAATTAGGCACTGTTTTGCCCTGATACATACAAAAAAGGGAAAATAGTTTAGCTGCAAAATTTTCCATTCAGATCATTCTCTGTCTTTGGCATCTAGTCTACATCTTCTTCAGGTTACAGGTATCTTTCTTAGGGTTTCTTCTGGGTTTTGTGTTAGTTTCTGATTGTGGTGATGAAATTCACATGATAGACTGTAATATTCTTCCCAATTCTTTGCTGTTTCCCCCAAGAGGTTTACACTTAAGACTTTGACATCATGCTAAATAATTTGACTTGTTTTATGCAATAAAATATGAGTGAATAAACCAAACTGGAATGATGATTAAACATGTGTCTAATTTATTTTTGTCATTTTAGGACACATGACAACATCTTAAATATATTAAAAAATTATTTTTAAAATTTGGATTGATGGCCATAAAAGGAAATAAGTCATACAAAGAAATAACCCTGGATCTAAAATGCTTATTATGTTGTAGTATTCTTCATGAACCATCAAATATTATGTCTCTTTCACCAGACCAACATTAAAATTTGATGTTTTGGCTCTCAATGTGTGGAAATCACCTACACACCTAAACTCACCCACGTTGTAAAATAATTTATTAGCAAGCATTTACAAAATCCAGATATTATGTGGAGTTGCATTATCTATTGAGAATTCAATTTTCAGGGATTTTTCAGGGTCTGAAATGATGCTGAATCTTGAAATATCTGCAACAAAAGGGACATACATGGCAGTGAAGGAGCCCCAACCACCTGCAGGAGTGTATCAATCCAGCTGCATATTGATATGATTAGACATAAGAGCTATTAAGTATCACAGATTTCAATCAGTGGAATAACTGTAAGAAAGGAAGAAGAAATTCTCTTTAGTGCAATATCTATAGAGGCCATTTCTTGTATATTTCACAAATCACAAGTTTCTTCATATTCCTTTATCTCATAATCCACATTCTAGCAATCTATTTTAGAATCGTTGGCGAATAGATGAAAAAGTGATAAATGACTTGGCATACCAGAGACATCTAAAAATGGAATTCATTCTGGGAAGAAATACTAGGGAAAATAAAAGCTAATTCCAGTCTCTGAACTCAGAAAAGATCAGGAAATAAAGGCCTCACATGCATTTTAAATGTCAGGGGACAGGATAGGACTTAAATGATAAGCTCTTCCAGAAACCCCTGTCATTTCAAAGATGTAGGTAACTACTTTTCTCCCCTGTTATAGGAGATGGGACGTGCACTCTCCAGAGGAACTGAATGGAAGGGAGAGTAGCTTGCAGAATACCAAGCACTGATCCTCCTGCCTCACAGTGGCATGGTCCTTAGTTACCTCCTTTGCTATATTCTGCCCTTTTATTTAAACTTTTAACAATGAAAATCCATAGAGTTTCATCCACAAGTATCTTATGTTCTCTCTACACTCACATCCTGAATGATCTTTTCCAGTGTGTGGCTTTAAATCCATATGCATGCTGATGATATAGCTCTATGTCTCTGAATTCTTGATTGGTCTATCCAAATCTTTATTCAAACATCTCTACCCAGAATGTCTAAACAGCATCTTAAATTTCCAAAGTGAATTCTTTTCTTCTCCTCTTGCCCCCTCCCCAAAGCTCTGCTTTATTCACCTTCCTTTCAAACTAAGTAATAATTCTGTTCTTCTTGATATTCTGGCCAAAAATCTTGGATGAATCCTTGAGTTACCCCATGATCCGTCAGAAGCAATAGAAATCCATAAGGAAATCCTCTCGATTCTATCTCAAAATGTTTCCAGTATCCAGTCATTTTTCATCACCTCTCCAGCTACCTCCCCAGCCCAAGCCCCCATTTTCTCTTCTGGGTTATTGCAACAGTGTCCTAATGGTTCTTATACTTCGGTCCATCATCGCCTATTCACAACAGGGCAGCCACAGTTATTTTTGTGAATGCATGTCACTTTTCTGCTCAAAACTCCAATGGCTCTCCATCTCATTCAGAGAAAAAGCTAATCGGTGTCTTGCATATGTAACTCTATGTGATCTCCACTCCCTCCTCCCTCCATGACTTCCCCCTTGTTCATTTTGCTCCAGCACCACTGGTCTCCTTGGCTCCCCCAACCCGGCATATTCCACTTCAGATATTCACACTGGCTGCTTGACCTGCCTCTAAAGCTCAGATGGGAATTGTTCAGAGAGACCTACCTATTTTAAAATTCAATTCTTCCCCCACCCTTATACTCCTCATCCCTATACCTGGCATATATATATATTTATTTATTTATTTATTTATTTATTTATTTATTTTAGTAGCACTTACCACCTTCGAATGCACTATGTAATGTAGTTATTTATTTCTACCTTCCTCCAATAATATGTAAGCTCCATGAGCACAGGGACTTTTATCAATTACCAGAACTCACAATAATACCTGACATGCAATAGGGACTGTTTTCAAAAGAATAAATTAATTAAAAATAGAGAATAGGGAAGAATATGTACATGTGTCCCTTGGGGGGCTGGGCTAAGGAATAGGAGAGCTCAATCTTTATCCTTAACTGTAGGAGATATGATAGATAATATCTAATACTAGAAATTCAGAAATAATTATATAAGTACTTTATTTAGAAATAGGGAGATAAACACCTCTCTGGAAAAGCAATATTATATCTGCCTTTTGAAAGTCTAGGGTTTTTTGTCTTTATTTGTCATATAGAACTCTTTGAATCTGTAAACCATTTATTTTAATTACCTGATAAAATTTTTCAGTATAGAAAAGGGTTAATATTATATAAATTCATTATAAATAATTTATTAAGAATTATTAAAATTGATGTATAATTTTTTTATATTTATAAGATGTTATAAGTTTATTTAAAAATTTATATTTATTCATAAAGAATATAAATATTTTAGATATATTTTATTCACAACATTGAGCAGCATGTTACTGTTAATTGGGGGAAGGGTATACAAATCTAAAATGTAGATTTTAATTAACTAGTGTTCTGTTCAGTAAGTTTAAATATAGTCCTGGGAATATCGATTTGTAAATAAAGAAATGAGCAAATCACCTAAAATTTTACACACATGGGAATTCATTTAATATTTAATAGATTTTTCAGAGCTTTAGAGATCCTAGTTTATTCTTTACCCATTATTTTGTTAAATACCGTTGTTCCATGAAAGAAATAAAATGTTTCCATCATAATTCTGGATAAAATTGTATTCTAATATTATCCTCATTGGAAATAAAATATGTTAACTTGGACTATGCAAGTAATTCTGGCTGGATGACACACTGAAGTCATTTCTCTCATTGGCGTTGGAAGTTTACATTTCTAATTACCCTTAAATTGTTGGAGTAAACCAAGAGAACAATGCTTTGCTTAAATTCCAATTTGTAAAATCTTTCCTAAGCTTTTATGTTTCAAAAATAACCCTTTCTCTCCAATGCAACAAACATAAAAATTAATAAAAAATTGCAGCCACAGTTAAGTTTGGTATTATGAAGTGCTGCTTAGACCACTGTGAATGCTGAAGTTGAATGGCAATATGAGAGAATTTCCATGAACAAATATTGACTACTAATGCAGAATAAAGTTTTCTCATTCTCCAACCAAAACAATTAAAAAGGAAAATTATGTTTATTAAAAGCCTATTTATCTCTAGGCTTTTAGCCAAACCCTTTTGAAGATGATTTTCCCAATTGGAAAATTATCAGAAGCAAAATCCTTTCAAGAATACGGGATTTCAAAATTCATCAAATTAAATTATTCTTTATATATGATTTCTTTCTTAAACTCACAAAACCACTAATATGTGAAATATTACAAATGATGACCTATTGGTTATTGTCCTTTGGTTTAAGAAAAAAGGAGGAAATCCACTTATGGAAGAATTTACCTATGCATTTTTTAATACTAAGAAGTCAATTTTGCATCATCGGGCATATGCAGATAATAAGAGTTCTGTATATTTGAATATTTTGCTTAAGAGTATATATATATACATATACACACACACATATATATACTTACATATATATACACACACACTCTTAGTGTGTAAATATATGAGTGTATATATATATACTCAATGTGTGTATATATATGAGTATATATATATACACTTATATGGATATATATATACTTGAATACATGTATGTGTCTAAATACTATGTTCTAAGTAAGATCTTTAATGATCTCGATGTGTAGGGTCTTTGTTAAGAACAGTGCTCATGGGACTGCAAATATGGATGTACTAGAATTAATATTATGGCAAAAAGTTTAGTGATTGTGTTACTCTGATTAAATTGAAAGCATGTGAAATTAAGTGACATATCTCTAGTGGTCATTTTTTTGTCTTGCCAACAAGCTCCACCTAATAATTTAAAACTAACTTCGAGGAATTTTTATTTAGCTATTCATTCAAATAAGTTTTGAATTTAGTGTAGTAAGGTAAATAATTTATTATTTCTAGTGAGGTTCTATATTCCAACTTTGATTTCTATTGACAATTCATTTTACTTCGTTTTTGTCAAGACAGGTTATTATGCAGTTTACCAAGACTAAATAGAATATGAATTTTATTCTGAGTAAGTTTTTATAGGGCAATGTCTACTACAGAAGCACCTAGCTACATATGGCTATAAAAGCAATGAAATGTAGCTATTCCATATTGAGATATACTGTAAGTGTAAAGTATACAGCAGAATTTAAAGACATAATATAGAAAAAATAAGAATGTAAAAATCTCATCAATAATTTCTTTCTATCTTGAAATAATTTTTGTAAATATTGGGTGAAATAAATACATAATGTCATAATTAATCTCAACTACATGTTTTCCTTTTTAATGTTGCTTTTCAAAAATTTAAAATTATATATGTGACTTGCATTCCTGGCTCACAATACGTCTATGTTGGAAAGCAATGTATAAAGTTATTTTTTAAACTTCTATCTTTCTCTTACTAAATAGTATTAAACAGTGAGTTTGCAAGCTTTTAAAAGGCAATAAAGGGCTGGGCACAGTGGCTCACACCTGTAGTCCCAGCAATTTGAGAAGCTGAGGCAGGAGGATTGGTTGAGCTGAGGAGTTTAATACCAGTCTGGGCAATAGAACAAGACCTCATCTCCACCAAAAAAAAAAAAAAAATTGCTTGGTGTTGTGGCATACCTGTGTAATCCCAACTACTGGGGAGGCTGAGGTGGAAGGATCCCTTGAGCCCTGGAGGTTGAGGCTGCAGTCAACCATTATTGTGCCCTGCACTCCAGCCTGTGTCACAAAAAGAAAGACTCTGTTGAGGTACCCAGCCTAGAAGTAGTCCATCAACAAATATTAATATAATAAATAATATACAATTAAATGAACAGAAAAAAATTCCTTTAATATCTCTTTTCCTTTATTGTACAATTGATTCATTTGCCATGTTTGTAGGGAACCATTTTCAAAATGTCATACGTAATCAGTTATGCATAATCCAGAAATTAAAAGTTATAATTCAAATTTTATATGAATTTAATACAAATAAGGCTTAACTTCATTTTCATTCTACCTTATGTGTGATTATATCTAGAATGCTATTAAAATATATTGGTCTGATCATCTGGCTGGAAGTATGTTGTTGACTGGCAAATGGGAGAATTTTCCACCAGAAAAAAAGTTTCCATAAGATAGCACTAGTGTTGGAAAATGAAGGTGAAACAAAGCCTTCAAAGAAGTATAGAGCCAGCTCCCACAGTTAGATTCTACTTTGTCCAAATATGATTTTTCGTCTTACTGCCCTTAGCCATCAAATGGTCTTTTGACAGCCCTTACTCTGCCTGCTCCTGTATATTCTAGTCAAGAGAGTTGAAATGTCCTCTACTTCCAGGATGATATTAGCCTCCCCTGGTAATGGAACACTCTAATATTTTCCGCTAACTAACTAACTTATCAAGACAAATTGAAGCATTCACATAGCCTATTACAAATCTATTTAATTGAACTGTACATACTTAAAGTGATTTGTGTTTCAATGTTACAGAATGAATGTTTGTGTCCCTGCAAAATTCGTATGTTGAAATCCTAATTCCTAATGTGATGTTTCTTAGAGGTGGAGCCCTTCACAGGTAATTAGGATTAGATGTAATTCTAGGGGTGGGGCTCCCATGATTGGGATAATGCCCTTATAAAAAGATGAAAATATGTGAGATCTCTTTCTCTGCATGTACACACCAAGGAAAGGCCATGAGAAGGACACGGCCAGGAAGAAGACCCTCACCAATAACCTGACCATGGTGGCACCCTAATCTTGGATTTCCAGCCTCCAGAACTATATGACATACATGGCTGCTGTTCAAGCAGCCTCCAGAACTATATGACATACATGGCTGCTGTTCAAGCCACCCAGTCTATTTTATTTCATTATAGCAAACTGAATTGACCCATATGTACATTCAGTCTCCTTATTCTACTACCATGCTACAAATTCATATTTGTACATTCCATTGACCAAAGCCCAAGACACAAATAGAAGTCTTTTAGAAGTGGATAATGAAAGCTGAACCTAACAGAGAAGAAATGCACCCTGACTGTCCACCTGTGCCTCTCGTATGATGCAGACTCACCTTTTGAGCCTATACTTATTAGTCAGAATCTATTTCCTCTGCTTGTTGTTTTGTTTCCAACGGCCCTTGACTAGCCTGATGGCCAACAGGACAAAAGTAGCAAGAAAGGCTCACTGAATAGCACAGATTTGCTATGTATCAGTGTAGGAAAAAGCATGTTACTAAGTTTAATTGAGAAACTCAGCCAGTGTTCCCATGTAATCATAGTGAGAGAAACACAAATGAAAGCTCTTCTTTAAAAAAAAAAATGCATGTGTACTAAGAGCTAGACTCCCTTTTCCAAGGAAAGACCAGCCAGGTTGTAATGAAAACACCTTTAATCCTTCTCAGCTTAGGCTACAATCCTACAAAATATACAGTATATCTGCTTGGAAAAAAATAAACTTTTTGTAGCCAGAGGCAAGATCTCATATAAGTTGCAAAGTGATTGGAAGGCTTTTGGCTTGGTTTGGATTTCTGGTCCTTTACCTGAGTTGTTAATTGAATTAGATTTTTGGCAGAGACCATGAGCAAAGAAATGACAATCAGATCCCAGATCTCAAAACTTCATGGGCAAAGATGACCAATTATTGCAAGGAGACACCACCTCAGACTCTAATTAGTTATGGAAGTTTGTGAGCAAGGTAAGGAATAGAGCATTTCCAAAGATGGAATGAAGGCATTATCATGAACATGGTCATGTTCAGTACATATATTTTAAGTGTTTATTTCTGTAGAATCAGCATGAGAAACATATTCTCATGGTTGTTTTATTTTTCAACTAACTTCAAATCCAAAGATATAAGACAAATTTTGAAGAACTTGACCATTAGGTGAATCAAGAGTAAACTATTTGCAATCCATAGCTTTTTCCAAGTCAATAGAAATTTTCCCATGATACTTGGATTTATCAGTGCTCATAGTTTTTGGTACAGCAGTGTACTTTAAGTTATACTCAAAGGTTCCAATGATGATCAGAATTCTTCTCCTTTTTATTTGCCTCTTCTCAACTACATACCCTCTTACTGCCTCAAATAGAGTAACAACTGTACTAGGGTGCTTAAAATATATTTTATGATAGTAATCTTTGGCAATAGAAGTGATTCTCTATTCTACTGCAGATATAAACACCATAAGAAAAGACATACTTCAATGGATAAGTCAAAAGTCTTTGACTTTTCCTGATAGTGTTTATAAGAAATACAGCTCTAATTTATCAGTAATGCTAAATGTGTTATAAAGAAAAGTCAGAGAGTGAAAGTTTGATAGTAGGGTTAGAAAAAGTTGTGGAGCAATACGTAAGGTTGGGGAGAAGAGATGTTATTAGAGACAATACGTAAGGTTGGGGAGAAGAGATGTTATTAGAGAAAGGTCAGCAAGTGCAAAAGTGTTCTTAAAATACTCACTATAAAATATGTTACAATTATAGAAATATGAAACTGTGATTTACATGTGCCTACTAGCAGCATCTAGCTGGAAACCGCCTTTTTTTTTTTTTTTTTTTTTTTTTTTTTTTTTTTTTTTTTTTGAGGCAGAGTCTAGCTCTGTTGCCCAGGCTGGAGTGCAGTGGCCTGATGTTGGCTCACTGCAACCTCCACCTACCACATTCAAGTGATTCTCCTGCCTCAGCCTCTCAAGTAGCTGGGCCTGCAGGCACCCACCACCATCTGGCTAATTTTTTTTGTTGTTGTTGAGACAGTGTTTCGCTCTTGTTGCCCAGGCTAGAGTGCAATGGCACGATCTCAGCTCACTGCAACCTCCGCCTCCAGGTTCAAGTAATTCTCCTGCCTCAGCCTCCCAAGTAGCTGGGATTATAGGTGTGCGCAACCACGCCCAGCTAATTTTTTTTTTTTTTTTTGGATTTTTAGTAGAGATAGGGTTTCACCATGTTGACCACGCTGGTCTTGAACTCCTGACCTCAAGTGATCCGCCCACCTCAACTTCTCAAAGTCCTGGAAGTACAGGCCACTGTGCATGGCCGAAACCCCCTCTTAAGATAATAGGTCACATCACCATAGCATTAATGTCCACACACAACTCAGTATATTACTCCACTTTGCTTCAGTAACAATCTTACATATCGATGATTTATAGGAAGCATATTTGTTTTACTCACGTTTCATGTTAATGCTTCTGAGTCAGCAAGTGCTGCTCTACCTCCTGTGTCTTCTCATTACTCCTGTGTCTTCTCCTTAGGCGACCTTCAGTGGCAGAGAGAAAAGAATGACAGGAGGGGAGACATGGGTGCCACTTAGCACTTCTGCTCAAAATTAGCACTCTGTCACTTTTCCTCACACTCTACTGGCCCACATCAACAACATGGCCAAGCCAGATAATGGGGTGGAAATGTATACTCCACCTTCAAGGAGGTACTTGAAGTCACATAGCTATGGGCAGAGATGTATACTTCTTTCTAAAGGAAGTTATCCAACAATTGTAAAACATAATGCAATTTGCCAAAGTGAGTAGTTCAAGTGCAGGAAGAATAAGCCCTAGAGAGTTTGGTCTTGGCCATAGCTCCTCTTCTTTTAAGTGGATGCCATAGCTTAAGTGTAGTTTGTAGAAAAAGATTTCTAAGAAGACTGAATTTGTTCAAAATGGATATAATCTCAGTGGCTCTCCAACAATGCTAGGTCTTTCTGGTAAATTCTACTCATAGCCACTGGCAGAAATACCACTGTGCAGAAAAAGACACCAGAGAAATAAGTTTCTAGCCTGTACATAAACTTCCAGAATAACTAACTCCAAACGTTTTAATTGTCATAATAGTCAAATCATACATAATCCTATCATAGTTATATAGGGCACAGCAGTGTTAATTTACAATAATTATCTCTGTAAATGATGTTAAATATCAGATATATCTTAAAGGAAGTTGTGAAAATCCAACAGATTGGTATTACTAATTCAAAAGAAGACAAAAAATAAATGTTGAACTCACTAATGTCATTGAAACAGCCTCCAGATAATTTACCATCCTAATGTGACAGAGAAGAAGAGTAATTTAGAGGAATGGAAATAAAAGAAAAAAAGTTTTTAAAAAGTACATGATGTTATCAGAATTGCAAAAAATCTGTTGAATAATAATTGTGTACAGTTTTAAATGTAAAACATAGTAGAGAATAGAACAAGTTACAGCAAAGAGAAAAGTCTAAATATAATTCTATTCATTTGCATTTTAAATTACAAATTGATGGTCTGCATTGGATGTTAAGCAATTAGGGAAGGATCTTCAAATTTTAGCATGCATGGAAGCCACTTGGGGACCTCGCTTAACACACTTATTTTCCAGAATTCCCCAGGCTCTGGCCCAGAGATGCTAATTCAGCAAACCTATTGGCATCTAGTTATATAGGTTTTAATGAGCTCTTGGGAGAGACTGATAAAAGTGGTCAGGGGATCAAGCTTTGTGAAACAATGAACTATAAAAGCAAATAAGAAATCCTTTAAATATTCTTTAAACACCTAATGATATCCTAGGAAGAATTATTTTTATGTGACAATGATGAATTTGTTGAAAATATAAGACTGAATAATGACCCAATTTGTACAAGTTTATTTTATTCTGTTGTTTTGAAATTTCTAAAAATAGTCTGCATTATAAAAGTTACTAATTATGCTGTAGTTAAAAGTGTGTAATGTACTGAAAAAATATAAATGGAGTTTGGTGCACTATTCGTACAGTCCCACTTCTTAACAGTGATTTTATATTGAATGTTAAATGCATTTGAGTTATACAGAAGATGTGCATTAAAAAATAAGAAAATGCTCTGACATAAAAAAGACATAGGTCAAATCATAAGAGTTGCAAGTAAAAATTCTCTGTCAATAATGTCACCATTACATGCATAACATTTTGCCACATGACCCTACTTATTAAAAATTTAGGTTAATATGGTTATACAATCCACAACACTTTGAATTAACATGAATGAATTTGAAATTTCACCAAAATACTTGCCTCAACTTGTACACTGTCATGGCTGGTTGGTACACTAAAGTGTTGTTTGCATTATGGTAGAAAATATTTATCATTTAAATATACCCATTTATCATTTAAATATACCCACTGTAAACTTTTATTTTTATTTCCTAGTTGATTGTTGAAGAGACAAACCTATAATTACAGTTGGAGCATTTAATATCTCTGTCTCACTAATCGATAGAACAACTAGAAAGAAAATCAAGGTTACAGAGAAAATATCACCATCAATCAACTGTCTCTAATCTACTTTATAGGCCATTCCAAAACAGTAGAACACATATTATTTTCAAGAACCCTCAGAATTATTTCAAGGAGAGTTTAAATCTTTGACCATAAAAAACATCTCAACAAACTTATAATTAAAATCATATGGAACATGTTCTCAAACCACAATGGCATCAAATTAGAAATCAATAGCAGAAAGAGTAAATGGAAATCTCCAACTCAAAAACACACTTCTAATGAACCATGAGTTAAACAGCAAGTTTCAAGAGAAAAAAATAGTAATTACATTGAACTTAATGAAGATACAACATATCAAAATTGTGCCAAACTGCTTTAGTTGAAAGAGAAATTTGTAATACTAAATGCTGTGTTAGCAGAGAGGGAAATTCAAATCTATAAGCTCCTACCTTAAAAACCTGGAAAAAGAAGAGCCAAATAAACCCCTAACAAGCAGAAGAAAAGAAAAAGTATAAAGCAGAAATTAATGAAATTTAAAACAAAAAATAAATTTTAAAATAGTTCTTGTAAAGATGAAAAAAAAATGATAAACCACTAGTGAGACTGACAAAAAAGATAAAAGAGACAAAAATTGTCAATATCAGGAATCAAATGGGACATTGTTACAGTGATTCTGTCTAGCACTGTAGTCATCAAAATATAATAAAGGAATACAAGGAACAATTTTACTCCCAAAAATTTGACGACATAGATGAAACAGGCCTATTTCTCAAAAGCACAAACCATTACATCTAACCCAAAATGATAAGAAAATTTTATATAAATTAAAATAAATTTCATTTAAAAATCAACCCAGGATGGTGACAAACTTAAATGTCAAAGGTAAAACCATAAGGACAAGACAGTAAAAACAAACAAACAAACAAAAAAAAAACGGCAAAATCATATAGGAAAAGCCAGTAAAGACTTTGGCACCTACACAATGAGTTGTTAGTCTTTATACCAAAACCACGATCCATAAAATGAAACTGATAAATTGTATTTCATCAAAATTGAAACTACTCTGTGAAGGACTCTGTTAAGAGGATAAAAAGGCAAACTATAGACTGGATGAAAATATTTGCAAACCACATGATACAGACTAAATTCGTTGTGCCTCCTCCAGATTTACATGTTGAAGTCCTAACCCAGAGTACCTTAGAGTGTGGCTGATTTTTTGAGATAGGGCCTTTAAAGAGGTAATTAAGGGAAAATGAAGTCATATGAATGGGCGTCAATCCAATATGACTGGTGTCCTTATAAGAAATTAGTAAACACACACTTACACATGGAAGACCATGTGAAGACAGACGGAGAAGACAGCTGTCCACAAACCAGGGAGAAAGGCCCTCAAAGGAAACCAACCCTGCCAATACCTTGATTTTAGATTTCCAGCCTCCAAACCTGTGAGAATTTTTTTTAAATTTACTCCACCCAGGCTATGATACTTTGTTATGGCTGCCCAAGCAAACTAATACACCTTACATCCAATATGACTGGTGTCCTTATAAGAAGAAATTAGTAAACACACACTTACACACACATGGAAGACCATGTGAAGAAAAAGGGAGAAGACAGTTATCCACAGACCAAGGAGTAGTGGACTAGTATCAAGAATATATAAAGAACTCGAAAGAAAAATCCAGTGAGATAATGGGCAAAAGACTGAAGGGACATTTCACTGAAGAAGATATATCAATGGCAAACAAGGACATAAAAAATGTTCAATCTGGCCGGGTGTGGTGGCTCACGCTTGTAATCCCAGCACTTTGGGAGGCTGAGGCGGGTGGATCACGAGGTCAGGAGATCGAGACCATCCTGGCTAACACAGTGAAACTCCGGCTCTACTAAAAAAAAAAAAAAAAAAATACAAAAAAAATTAGCTGGGTGTGGTGGCGGGCACCTGTAGTCCCAGCTACTCAGGAGGCTGAGGCAGGAGAATGGCGTGAACCCAGGAGGCAGAGCTTGCAGTGAGCTGAGATCGTGCCAATACACTCCAGCTTGGACGACAGAGCGAGACTCCAATCTCAAAAAAAAAAAAAAAAGTTCAATATTTTTAACTCTTAGGAAAATCCAAGTTAAAACAATGAGATGAGATGACACTACATACCTATCAGAATGCCTAAAATAAGAAAATAAGAAATGTCTTATTTCTTATTGAGACCTATAAGAAATGTATTATTTCTTATTTAGACCTATAAGAATGTCTAAAACAAGAAAAAGTGACAACACAAAATATTGACAGAGAAAATGGATCACTCATATGTTGCTGTTGGGACTTACAAAATGTTACACCCGTTCTGGTAAGGAGTGTAGCAGTTTCCTACAGAAATAGCTGTAACAGACTTTGTTCCCATAGTTCACCAAGCAATTCCAGAATTGCAATGCATGTTCTTCAAAATAGTGATCCTCTTTAACAAATGACTTCTGTCTTCCCAGTTGTATTTTTCATCTGCACATTTCTTGTTGGTGAACTGAATTTATTCCTGTTGTTTGTCACGTAATACCTAGAAAGGTGATTTAAATACTACTCTGGCTCTAGAGGGGAAGAAAATAGCTTACCAGCTACATTTGATAGGATGTCATGGAAGTCAACAAATATAGGAACTTCCTGTGTTATTATGTTACATATGATCTTTCCCTCCCATCTGCTGCTCAAAATTTGCTATTCAATCACTTAATGTATATTCCTGCATTAGATAAGAATACAGATTTTATGGCATAAATCAGAGCAGTGGGAACTGTTGATAGATCATCAGAAGCTATTTTTCATGTGACTATGAACAAAGAATTCTTCCCAGATAACCATGGATCTTTGGCTAAAAAGCTCCCACATAATTTTGGATTGTTTACTTTTTCTTCTTTTCTGTTTTGTTTCATTAGTTGTATAAAGAACATTGCCATCAACAACCAGGAGAAAACAACACAGAAACATAGAAAATTTCACAACTGACAAAGCTTTTCTACCTTCATTATCCATTTCAATCGTATGCCAACCATGTTAGATATCATCGTTCTCTCTTTATAGATGTAAAAGAGGTGAGCCTTGGAGATATTGTGGCATATATGAAAATATTTCAATTGTGATAGTAAGAGGCAGTTTTTTAGAGCCATATTCAAATGTGAACATTTTTTTCCACATCCCATATAACAACTGTTTTCCTAAAAAGCACTTGGCCAAACAACATAATAAAAAGAATTGCTTAGGCCAGGCACGGTGGCTCACACCTGTAATCCCAGTACTTTGGGAGGCCGAGGCAAGTGGATCACGAGTTCAGGAGTTCAAGACCAGCCTGGCCAAGGTGATGAAACCCAGTCTCTATTAAAAATACAAAAATTAGCCAGGCATGGTGGTGGGTGCCTGGAATCCCAGCTATTCGGAAGGCTGAAGCAGAGAATTGCTTGAACCTGGGAGGCAGAAGTTGCAGTGAGCCAAGATCACGCCACTGCACTCCAGCCTGGACGACAGAGCAAGACTTCCTCTCAAAAGAAAAAAAGAATTGGTTAAGCAACATAGTAACTTTATTTATTCCATGGTTGAGTACTCAGATTTTGTACGTATACATGTTGCAACGAAAAATATAATTAAACATTATTTTCAAAACAGTTGAATAGAGTGATCAGCACAGGTTCCTGAAAAAAGACTTGACTCGTCTTTTCTATGAGAGTGTGTGCATGTTTCTTGTTCAGATGAGACCCTAGAAGTACTATTTATAGACTGTAAGATTGAAAAACTCTACATTTTGAACATTTCTTAATAACTAATTCCACAAGTCTATTTATGAATCAGAATTTCCTCCTATTTCTCCCTTTTCCAGCGTGAGCTCTAAATTCAAGAAATAGTGAGCTGGAAGAAGGCTTAGGAAGGGAAATAATTCTAAATGATTAAGTAAACAAAATAATTTGATCAGTATAACTCTAGTCTCCTGACAGCAAATAAAACAGAGAATTAACAATTAACAGGAACATATGATGACTTCATTCATTATCAGTAATAATGCTATCTGGACTTCATGAGGGGCTGGACTTGGATGTTTATACTTACTTTGGAATTTTATCTCATAAATTTTCTCAACTCTGGAGAATTTATTTAACTCTTGCTGTACTATACCAAGGATTAACCACTGTATACAGTAGAGAAAATACAGATATCCTGAAACAGAGAAGATTCTAGAGTTTACATGGAAGCAGGAAAGAAATGACAATTATGGAAAATTTATCCCACGGTGATGGACAAGGGCTCATACAACAAACATGTTTTCTGTCTATGTCTCCAGTTCTCACCTACAATCTAAACTTGTGTGTGTGTGCAGAATGCTTAGAGAATTAATCTAGTTTTTGAAGATTCTGATCCAACAGACTATATGCAAAACATGGTGATTTTAACATGTAGTTTACTTATTATTTCTGAAATGCAGCACATATTTTTGCCTAAGTTTTTCTTTTTCCTTATTGTCAATGATGAAGAAATATCCATGATATAAGACTCAGGATTGGAGACTTTGTCTCTCACCACTGAGATCAGTGAACGTGGCAAGAGTCAATCATTCCATCTCTATTATAAAACCCCAAATATAAGATTTTATTCTTCATACAATCTGGTGCTAATAATAACAGTAACAAAAATCATGAATATTCTTTCATGTTTATAAGAAGATCCCTCCATTTTCTGCTACTTCCTGCTTCTTCATTTATATGCCAGCAACACAGAGTTACCCATATTTCTCTGAATACCTCTCATGCTTACAATTGATTTCTTAATTTTGCTGTCTGAATATCCTTCCTCTGCTTGTTTGCCTTGCTACTTTCCTCTCATCTTTCAAGATTCAGCTCCAGGTTGACCACATCTAGAAAGTCTTCCCACCGAGGCTCCTCAGATACTGTTTTTATCCCCTCTCTTCATCTCTTTTTCATCCTTCATTGTAATGGCCATTTGTTTTTCTGTCTCCCTATTAGACTGCCAGCTCCCTGGGTAAGGAATTCAGATCTCAGCATAGCTCTATCCTGGTGCTTTATAGTATCTGGCACAATGTATGTCTACAAAACATTTTTTATAAATTAATGTATGGCTAATATTTTATTTTAAAAGGTAGAGCTTATAAAGTAGGAGCATGATATTTTATCAATCTTTCAGGACAATCTTTAGAAGTGGAAAGAGTAGCAAAAAAATACTCCAAGATGAACGTCTCAGACTAGTTTGTGTTGGAACCTGGACTTGAAACAAATTCTATGCTGAAACAAACAACAGCAACCAATAAGCTTTCTTTAGTACCACTGAATATATAGGGAATGTGGACATGAAATTAAAATATACTATTTTATTTATTCCTCATGACAGCCCTACAGAGGGCAGCATAGATAACATTATCCCTATTTTCCAAGTGAGGATACTGAAGTTTGGAGAGTTTATGTGACTTTCCCGAAGTGGCAGGCACAATAAACAGAGAGGCTAAGAGTCAAGCCCTGTTCGAATTCACTCCAAATCTGTGCTGTGAAGGGCAAGACCGTAAAACTTCTCAAACCGTATTCTTCTCGGTGTGGGTAGGATTACTTTTCCAAAATATTATTACATTCATTGTTTCTATTGTTCAAACTCTGCAAATACACATTTGGTAACATAGCAGTGCACATTCAAAGAGATGGTATCAATGTGTTATCTTCCATTGACAAGAATCCAGGCCTCCAGCAAGAGGGAAAAAGGAGATCCTGGTTATGTGAATTGCCAGCTACAGCCCTTGCCTCAGAGTTAGGTTCTAGCAAGTCTACACCTCTGCCGCCAGACATATACCATGAATATAATATTTACTTTAACTTTTTGGGGTGTTATATTTTCTAAACTCAATTTGACATTTAATTATATTCAGATATTTAAAGAAACAATTTTATTCTGAGTTTATCAAAAACAAACTCTCAGATCCAGAATTAATTTGGGGAGTTTTCACTCTGGAGAGAAGCTGTTGTTACATTTGAATCCTCTACACTTTCTCCTTCTTCTCCTACCACACATCAAATGTGTATTTTCTTCAGAAGTCATCAGCTTCATTAAACATAATGTAATTTGGCTGTTTGAAATTCACAATGTATTAAAAAGTCAAGAGCAAAACCTTTGAGAAATAATTTAATGCTGAAAATTATCTTTTTCTCTTTTTCCTTCAATTCATACAAACATTAAAGGTTTGTTACAGGTAATTTGGAGACATCATAGTGAATGTGATTTCATTTATTGAAATAATGTTGTCTTCCAACACACAGAATGGGAAAAAATATTTGCCAACTATCCATCTGACAAACGCTTAATAAGCAGAAAATATAAGGAACTCAACTCAATAGGAAAAAATCTAATAATCTGATTAAAAATGGGCAAAAGGTCTAAGAAAGACATACCAATGGCAGAGAAATGCAAATTAAAACTACAATGAGATATCATCTCACCCCAGTTAAAATGGCTTTTATTGAAAGGGCAAACAATAAAAAATGCTGATAAGGATGTGGAGAAAAGGGAACGCTTGTACATTGCTAGTGGGAATGTAAATTAGCACAGCTACTATGGAAAACAGTATGGAAGTTTCTCATAAAACTAAAAATAGAACTATCATATGATCCAGCAATCCCACTGCTAGGTATATACCCAAAAGAAAGGAAATCAGCATATCAAATGTAGATCTGTACTACCATGTTTAGTGCAGCACTATTCACAATAGCCATGATTTGGAAGCAACAGAAGTGTTCATCGGCAAACTAATGGATAAAGAAAATGCGGTACACAATGAAGTATAATACCATTCAGCCACAAAAAGAATGAGATCCTGTCATTTGAAACATTATGGATGGAACTGGAGGATATTATGTGAAGTGAAATAGGCCAGGCATAGAAAAACAAACTTCACGTTTTCACCCATTTGTGAGAGCAAAAAAATTAAACAATCGAACTCATGGAGATAGGGAATAGAATGATGGTTATCAGGGGCTGGGAAGGGTAGTGGGGCAAAGGGGTGGAGTCAGGATTATGAATAGGTACAAAAATATAGCTAGAATGAATAAAATCTCCTATTTGCTATCACAACAACAGGGTGACTACAGTCAACGGGGTTAAAGACCAGCCTGGCCAACATGGTGAAACCCCATCTCTACTAAAATACAAAACTTAGCCGGGCATGATTGCAGGTGCCTGTAATCCCAGATACTCCGGAGGCTGAGGTGGGAGAATTGCTTGAGCCTTGAGCAATTGCCTCTGCCTTGAGGCAGAGGTTGCAGTGAACCCAGATTGCACCACTGCACTCCAGCTTGGGCAACAGAGTGAGACTCCGTCCCCCCACAAAAAAAAAAAAAAAAATTGTTAAAAAATGAAAGAATAAGAATGTTTGTAACACAAAGGAAGGATAAATGCTTGAGGTGATACCCCCCATTTAACCTGATGTGATTATTATGCATTATAAGACTATCAAAATATCACATGTACCCCATAAATATATGTACCTACTAGGTACTCATAAAAATTAAATATTAAAAAAGATAATAAAAGACTAATAAAAAATGTTGTCTCTAATGACTATAAAATGTATTTGAAATACATAGATGATTCCTATAGCCCCCCCCCACATAATGATTTTGTACCAAGAGGGTAAAGTATAAGCTTATCTGATTCCCAGGTTATTTCTCAATATCTTACATCTAGCTTTTACAAATGACACATAAGAAAATGAGGAGTTTTGTTCTAATAGGAAAAAAAATACTATTTAACCATGTAATAAGACCCCTGACTTTTAAGCTAAAAGAAATCAAAAATTTTTTAAAGTAATATTTCCCATTATGGGCGTTTTATATTTTTCTCATTGTGATTTCATCACTAGGCATTGAATAATTGCTTGTAACATTCTATTCCTTCAGCATTTATTTCATCCTGCTGCCTCACTTCCCATTAAAGGATCTAAACATAAATTGTTATACATCATAGCTTTTCAAAACTATCAGAAACCTATTTTAAACATTTTACTGACCTAAAAATAGATTTATTTTCCAGAGGTTCTAACAATTCCAAAATCCTAACAAGTATATAGAGAGTAAGATATTATAATCCCAAATTTGCCCAAGTCACTCATCTTTTTCATTGTGATAAAGAAGCAGTTTTGGGGTAGCAATGAAAGCCCAATTTGCCATAAATCAACGTCACATATTGTCTTCAAGCTTCAGAAAAATTAAAGCCTTAGTAAGTTACACACCTTCTGTTCAAACACTTATAGTTTGCTATAGATACTAGCACTAGTACAGGGATTTATAAATAAAGCTATAGATTAGTGATCAAAGCAGAAATAATGGGAAAATGAATACCTTCCCTTTCCCTCTTCTTGTTGTTAAGTTTCTCTTCTTCACAGACCACAGGAAGACACTGAAACTGCTGTTACCCATACCAAAGAGTGCTTGTTATTCTGTTCTTGAAGCTGCCCCAGCAACCAGTGACCTGTTTAAGAACCTGTGTTGACAAGCTCCACAGGTGTCCTGGCTTAATGTTGCTCTGGAGTGCTTTTAATAGATAAGCATACTCTATCTACTCTGGCAAAGAAAAATAGGGTGGGCAATGAAACAACCATTTCTCTAACCTGAGCTGAATACTTAACATAAGTCAAGGGTAAAGAAAACATTCTGCTTTTACAGTGTCCTGAGATGCCATTGAAGGGCTGCCCTTTAGTTTATATATTTATGTATCATCCATATAGGCAGAAACCAGTTCATTCAATGAAACTAGACTGAGATAATAAAGGTTTAAAAAGGTTTTGAAAACATAAGCAGAGGCATTTGGAAATATTATAAAAGTAATTCAATAATAGTTCTTACTTTAAGAGTTAAACCTTCCAAATATTTGATTTTTCATGGGCCCATGTTTAATTATTCATAGATACAATTTTTGGTTAATTTTGGTTAGTTATACTAAAATAATTTCATAAATTAAAGTAATGATTTTATAATCTCGGGATTTTGTTTCTGTGTAATTGTCAGAAATAAAAATATAAGAGTATAATAAGGAAAAAATTGATGTTACATAACGTACATAAATGCAAATATATTCTGAAATTAAATCCACTGCTACTTTTCTTATAAAGATTTACTTATTCTTATGACAAATGTGGTCATGGTCATAGAAAAAAAGACTACATAGGGAAAATTTTGAAATGTGAAAGATAAACTTCGCTGTTCTACTTACAGAAGATGGCAAACTTGTGCAAAGGGTGTGTATTTTCCTTTACTAAAAGTTGTTTTTGCAATAAAATCAAGAATCATCTACCCAGGGGAC
This sequence comes from Homo sapiens, assembly GCF_000001405.40. NCBI lineage: Eukaryota > Metazoa > Chordata > Mammalia > Primates > Hominidae > Homo > Homo sapiens. The sequence continues at coordinate 92,720,869 of NC_000013.11, forward strand.
CATTCAAACTTGTTAATTCAAAACGTAGGAAAAGATGTGGGCCTGGGTTTGCATACCTATCCACAGAATGGGCCTGATTTGTGGCAATTTCCTTTCTGGATATCTGAAGTGTTTTCTCTCTCTGTATATCTATAGCACACTCTATCTCCAGAGTACTGTGGAGATGGAGGACTCTGATAAAGGTATAGTAAGAATCCAGCAAAGGTCACTGGATAGATATCAGAACAATTCCATCCATTATACAGAGAACTGGATACACAGGGAACTGAATGAAATGTCAAAAATCCTTCCTGGTGCACAGGGAAGATGACCACAAGCTAGTCTTACAGTATCTATATGATGTCCCAGAAACTGTACACCCGGCAGCTGCTAGACCACAAGATAAGGGTTCCAAATGCTACCAATAAACAAGCAGAATTTGGACTCCAGAATATAATGTAAGACAATGAGGAAAAAGGTAATGTCTATTTCTAGGATTAAGGGATGAGCGTATCCTAATGAAATAGGTAAAATAAAACAAAATTAAAAACCCTCCAATTTCTAAAAACTGGTATCCAAAATCCATTTATTCTCTAAGAAAAGCATGATCATTATTGCAGGCTAAATGAAACAAGGAAGAGAACTGCCAGTTTCAAAACACCAATGCCAATGACCTGAAAACTCACCAGGATCCCTTGCTGTCAGACAGTCACTGTTCACGGCAACCTTTGTTGAAGTGCTCAGAAAAGAAGTTTTTTGCAAACCACTTTGAACTGCTAGGCTTAGAAAGGAACTAACTTTTGTGTAAGTGATAGACTAGAGTCTTTAGGAACAAAAGGGGTGTGTATAATTTGGAATTAGAATCATCTGGGGAAAATACTTTCCAGTGTGATGGATTAAGCAAATGTCTTATTCACACATGCCATTAAGTCACTGTGTTATTGAAGATAACAGAGGGGGGTTCATAAAAGTCACCTCTTCCAGGTTTAATGAGGCAAGGAAAAAACCTGTATGTCCTATTTAGGGGTCATTTCCATTATAAAACTGTCATTAAGTTCCAGTTCAAAGTTAAATTTGGGAAATAGCTATTTAGATAACACAGATGGGCACCTAGCTGAATCTTTGATTAGAAACCCTTAAACAAACTGGCACCCTATTGTCTTTTCTTTTCATTTTATTCATATCAAGGGAACTTTTGCCTATATATCTCAGTATAAAATAGACTTTACCTCAACCTTTCTTCCAGTTCAAAATAACAATGCATTCTTCCAGGAAATTTTCAAAAGTCTTGTTCCCAATAACTTGGGGTTATTTCAGGATGTAAGCTCATTTCAAACAACTTGTCCTAAAAGGAAAAACAAATATGATTATAAAGTGCATGTAGTTTGTGTATGGTTTTAAAGGGAAAATACTTTGCCTTCATCGGATAAGGTGCAACTAGCCTTCATAGTATTTTCTGTCCCATTTACTTATATAGACACTATCAAGAGAAAATCAAGCTTTTGCTAGGACATTAAGGAGTTTCTAACCTTTCTTTTCAGTCATGAGCCCCTTGGTAATCCAATAAAATATATGGAACCTATTGGCAGAAAAAGGGACTTAGCCACTTAACCACAGAATAAAGCATAAATTTCCAGAGAACTTTATGAAATCCAAGGGCCCCACTTAAGAGTTCTCAAACATGAGAGGAAGACATTCCATCAGTCTTTCTTCTGGACTGGAAACCCTTAAACAGACTGCCACCTATTATCTTTTTTAAAAATTTTATTCTTTGCAAGACAAGTTTTGGATTTTGAAAGAAAGGGTAAAAAGCTTAATGGGATATAGGCAGGTCCTTATTATAACAACATTATTGATGTGTTTTGAAAGAAAAAAGGAATAGAACTCCAGAGTGTGATTGGGTAATTGTGCAAAGAAAAGTCAGGTTGTTTAGGAAAGTCTAAACTCAAGAATGTCTTTTGTATTTTTATATACAAAAAAATGATAAAATCATAAACTAAATTTTAGATTACTTGCCATTTTGAAGTTGTCCTTTAGCAAAAACTGTGAAAGTTACCACTCAATGATTCATATTTCACCATTGTGAATTTTAAACTTTGAGTTTATACAAACAGATTAAGCCAAAAAATTATGTACTTAGATGATATATGAAATACTAGAAATGATGTGGATTTTGAAATAGACAGAACCGGGTTTAAATCCCACTCATTAACATTTGTTAATAATATAGCCTTGAGGATATCTGAGGCTTAATTTCCTCTTCTTTGAAAAATGAGATAATACCTACCTTGAGAGATGACAGGAGAATTCGATATAGCTATATGAAACATCCAATCCTGGTACTCAGAACTGAAATTAAATTTTCATAATTCAAAAAATTATGGTGAGATTCATATTAAGTGTTATTATTTGCAGGAATGAAATACACCTACACTTATTCACTGGACCAAATAGAGATTTCTTAACCCTCCGAATAACACTTTCTTCTTTGTATTCGTTAAAAAAACCCAGAGTCAGAGCTGGTAAGGAGTCGAATGCACTTCATTAATTTTTGCCACTGAAAATCATGATTTGTACTTAGAGTTCACCATTATTACAGCCATATTGGTAAAATGGCCATGTTTGACTTTAACCAGATCAAGCTTGTTTAGCTTTATAAATTCACTGAAATACCACTACACCCCTTCTCATCCACCTCATCCCTCCCCTTAATAAGTTCTATGGGAAAGGGGCTTTGGAGAAAACTTGTACTTAATTTCACAATATATCCTTATAGTAAAAAGTCTCCATATTTATTTTTCCCCAACTTCAACTCAGTCAGGATGCTGTGAACCCAGAAGGTAACAGATAATGCACCTTTGCTTGCCTTGTGAAATTTTCATTTTAGGTTAGTTTCTTGAAGAAACTACTTGAGGAAGTTACTGCCTATTTCTAGGACTAAAAAATATTAGGTCTTGAGGTCAGAATGCTGTGTATCTTCTGTGAAATATAATTCTATCATATGCTGAAAATCTATTATAGTATGATAGAAAAACAATAGAGTACTTTGGAAAAAATCTACCCCTTTCTGTTACTCTTTAACTGGTAAGACTAGCTTAATTGAACTGTTTTTTGCGTTTCAGAAATAGAGTTGGAGGTTAAGAAAATATAAGTTTAAAAACTCCAAATATGATCATTTTTTGCTCTTTTAATGTTTATGTTGTATAAGTTTGCATTTTAATGTTTTTGTTGTATAAGTTTAAATTTCATCTTATGGAAAAACATAAGTTAAATTATCCTTACTGCTTTCATAGAAGTTGAGTTAAAGTCTAAAATTATTCTAGGTCAAAAAATAAATTAAGGCTACTTCTTCAGTATAAGATATTTTTCTCAAAAATAAGTTAGGTTTTTATTTTTAAGCAAGCTATAAGAGAATTTATCATTTTTAGCAAAATAAATAAGTAAAAAAACTCTTAGAAAAGATATCAGGCACATAAATGTGTTAATAAAAACAAACAAAACACTTACCTTCTTTATCATGTTAGAACATTATACTTTCCATACATGTTAGAATGCATATTTTTAATATTTTGAGAAACCTTCATACTGTGTTCCATAGCCTATTTTACAAGCCTAAATGTCTATCAACAGATAAATGAATAAAGAAAATGTGGTATATGTAGAAAATGGAGTATTATTCAGCCTTACAAAAGAAAGAAATTTTGTCATTTGCAACAACATACATGAACCTAGATAGAGGACACATGGTAAGTGAGATAAGCCAGACACAGAAGAATAAATACTGTATTATTCCACTTACGTGAGGTATCTAAAATTGTCAAACTCATAGAAGCAGAAAATTGAACAGTATTTGCAGGGACTGAGGGGAAGGGAAAATGGGGAATTGTTCAATGAGCATAAAGTTTCAGATATGCAAAATGAGCAAGTTATAGAGAAGTGCTGTACAAGATGGTGACTATAATTAACAATGCTCTACTGCTCATTTAAAGATTTCTTAAAAGGGTAGATTTGTTAAGTGTCCTACACATACACACACACACACACACACACACACACACACACACAAGAAAGAAAAAACAAGAGAGTAGCTAAGATCTATAAGCACAGGGCTGTGTCACCAGTCAGACCATGCCTCAACAAATGAAATATTAAAAAGCTTCATATGTAAGACTATGGAGTAGACGTTAAGTCATACTTTGGATAGAGTTTCATAAAGGTCTTCCCCTTAATAAATTTAACCATGTTATCTACCGTTTTCTCATCTTCCTAAATTTGGTATTTAGATACTGAATTTTAGAAGATATATCTTCTTTGGCTCTGAGTCCTTTTTATTTTTCATATCCCAAGCATTTATGGCAGCCACATTCGTGCCTATTTCCTGGAATTGTGATTGTCTCATAAATTTGCTACTATGCTGTCTAATGACATAAACTGTCTAAATATGAGTAATTTGTTTAAGAGTACCCTCCGTTATATATCTGTTCTCCTAATCCTTTTCTACATTTAAATGATAGGCGGCTGAGAAACACACAATTCACTTTCAGAATTGAGTGGGCTAAACAACATTTATGACTTGAAAAAAACACTTTCTTCTTTAAAACAAAGAAGGCATATTAGTTTGGCAATTGCAACTCTAGAATCAGTTTATGAGTATGTAAGGAACTACTCTAAGAATTGACTAGAATATACCTAGCCAAACTTTATCTTTAGAAATTATCCCTCAGTGAAATTGGAACTATTTTTAACATTTTTTTAACTGTTAATAATCCAAAATGCAACTATATAAACAATGAAAATACAAAAAAATGAAAATAAAAATCACACGTTCAAATTCTCATGTTAAATCTTAACAAAAAATTGGGCATTACTTTGAACTAGTTGGGAATGATCAAAATAGAGCTCTTCACTGGAGTTATTAAACATAGAATTTGAGAAAAATTTAGATCTAAATTGGATGAAATTGTTATTGACCTTTAATCACTTACTCCTAATATAACCTGAAAGTAGAACATGACTTGCTATTGAATTTCTTTTTCAAATACTGGTATATTAATGATGCCCTCTGACTTTTAGCGTAGCACATTGCATGCTAGGTCACAAGTGTTTCCTGAAATGACTGAACTGTATCAGGCTTCATCTTCCAGCACTGATGCACCATCCTGAATATTGCTCTAGGTGAGGTCTTTTATTCTCTGCCAAAAGTCACATTATTTTTGACACAAGCTTCAGCTGCTTCACCAAAGAGCTAAAGAGTAGAGTCAGAGCTCCAGAAAAGAGATGATTTGTAAGGTCCTGGAAAAGGTGATGCTTTTAACTGAATTCTCTCTCCCACTTCAGGCTTGGTATCCCACATGTTTAGTTTAGGCACTCTTCCCATCATGATCTCCTGAAACTATTAACTCAAAACACCCTTGATCTACATAATTAGATCTTGTTTACCATACCTGGAATCAACATATTGAAAAATAATGTTTATATTTGCTCTTAAATCTAGTTGTTTCTTTTAGAACCAAGAATTCTGTACTATTTTTTTGTGTTTGTTTATTGTTTGTTTGTTTGTCTTGAGACAGGATCTAACTCTATCACCCAGGCTAGAGTGCAATGGTGAAAACATAGTTCATTGAAACCTTGAAATCCTGAGTTAAGTGATTCTGCCACCTCAGCTTCCCAAGTAGCTGAGACTACAGGCCCATGCCACCATACCCAGCCTGAACTATTTCTTAATAAAGGAATAAAACTTTTTTTCCAAAATTTAACTGTTTATTCCACTTAAATGCACTCACTTTCTTGATAGGTGATCACATCTTGTTCCTGATCATATGTTACTTGCCTTTGATCCCTGGTTAAAGTCAGGTGTTTCAATGATAAGAGCAAAAGTTGGATTCTGAAACAAAGTTAAGCTATAAACTACATATAAGTGGTCCATAATATTTATGAAACCCAGTCAATATGGCCAAGGAAAATTGAGGTTACTTCTGTGAAGATAATAAGTACTCGTTCTGAATGTACTAACAAATCAAAGCTCCAAATATTTTTGTTTATGGAGAAAAGAGGGATAAAAGAAAACTTATTGTGAGAGCTATAATTCCAAAAAATAAAGGTGTCACCTGAAATGCTATTGATAGTAGGAACATAAAATTTAAATATACTTCCTAATAATGTTGCCTCTTAATTTTAGTAGAAATGCATTCAGACTCTTTTTATCATAGCAGTAAACAAAAGGCATGGGATATCTGTGTTTAAACCACCTTAGCTTAACACAATTTGTAATAGCCATCATTAGGAGTTTATGCAGAGCCCTGTTTTATGTCAACCACGCTAAGATAATGTAGCTCGGGGTGCTATATCCATGGTCTTTGAAATGTGTGCGTAAACAGACACTTTTTCCATGTATCTGTTTTGTCATTTATTTTGCTGTGTAAACACTATTATGAAATTTAGTCTAATCTTTTTGGGTTAATTCAAACATTTTCACTATGTTCAGATAAATGTAACCAAAGCCAGATGTTGGTTTCTGTACTAAGAGGGCTCACTTAATGTAAACATGATTCTACTTCCTCCATTTCTTTTTGTCAGTCCAGATGTTGAAGTTGTTCAAAATGCTTTTCCTTTGCCTCATCACAGACCTCCCAGAAATCAAGCCTGCTTTCCAACTGATTTCTGCATGGGTGTCCACCTTTAACTTCCTATTATGCCTCACAAGCTCGATAATAATATTACAAGTGGCCCCATTCAATCTTGACAGAAACTCCAAGAAATTCATCTCTTCATTATCAGCTGTCTTCTTTATGCATTCTCAATTCAGTAGACACTTTTTCAAGCTTCATTTGCTGGGCAGAGTTGTGCTCCCTACCCTCTCACTTCTGAAAAGAAACATACCCTTAATGGATTCTGCTGACTCTCCATTCATTTTCTAGACTTCATTGGAGATGGCTTTCTTTAGACTGCAGCCTCCTTTGGACTACCTTCACCATCCTTTATTCTGTCATTACTCGATCATATTGGTCTTTCAATCTGCATTTCTACCTTCTCTAACAGTCAGTTTACTATCTCCTACTTTTTGTCTCAGTCAGTATTCACACCTCACATAAAAATGTGTATGCTTTTGTTCATGCTTTATAAAAAAATCTCTCCATGTTTTTGTTTGTTTGCCGACTCTTGATTTTTTAATTGGTGTAACTTAACTCTTTGGACTATGGTGTTTTAAAAATGTAGAACTACAATGTTTCTAAGAAAGTACCATAGAATGACAAAAAAATTTCACCTTTTACAACTACTTGTCTCATACATAGCTTGTCTCTCAATGCATTATTTGCCATAGGCATTTATAAACGAACTGATTTCTTTACCATTATGAAGTCAAAGACAGTTTCTCTTCTACATGCCTCTAGGAAAGATTGATGAGCATATCTTTTTTGATGAAATGTTTCAGCCCTAGGATGACCTTAATGTGCTTATATCTTGCTTTGTTGCTAATCTCTTTTATATTTCTATAGTTTTCTTATTAGTTAAGCAGTCTTGAATGTATAGGGATAGACAAAGAAATTGAATGTTAATTTTTTTGTGGATTCCCCATGATTCAGCCAATACATTATTTCCAAGTTTAGTTCAGAAGAATAGATTTAAGCAAAACATAGAGAAATTTAGTGAACTTAAAATTTCAGAACGCATCCAACATGAAAAACAGAGAAAGCCTCAACATTTCTTGTATTAAAATACTTTCCACTTCTAGGAAAACGGGGGTAGGAATTTAAATGTTGACACATAAAATACAGCACTGATTGTTATTATTTAAAAATGCAGTCACTATCTTAATGTTTTCCTGGAACAGACTTAAATAACTGGGTAACATAATTGTACTGTTCTATTTTTGAATGCCAACTTTGACATTTCTGTATGAATCTAAATTTCGAACCATTTTAATTCATACATTGTAATTTTTGCATGTTGCATTAATAATTGGGAAGAAAATTAGAGATTATCTAGTTTAATTACTCAATTTTAAAGTTGCAGAAACTAGGAACTGGAAATAGTACATTTAAATGACTTTAATCAAGCTGCATATTTAGTTAACAGCAGTACTAGGGCAAAGAGTCGATTTACTTATCCTCTCAGAAAAAAACTATTTCTGTAATATTAGCCCAGGATTCAATATTCATACTGGTTTGGTGCTTTGCTTGCTTCATCTCCCTCTGCCCATTCTGCACAATTTATCTGTACAAGAACAATATTCCTTGCACACATTTTTTCCCCTATTCTCTTCACTTGGACTGCCCTTCTCCCCAAAGCATCCTTACAGGCTACTCATCCTTTGTTATCTACCATGTCTCTAATCAAATGTGATCTAGATAAACTTTCTCTGAATTCCCTAAGATGATGTAAGGGCATGTTCAACCATTTTGTATTTCCATCACACAAATTATCATCTTTCCTTTCATATCAACCCCTAGATCCACGCTATTCAATGTGGTAGCCACTAACTACATATGTCTATTGAGCATTTGTAATGTAATTAGTAGAAATTGGGATGTGCTGTGAGTATAAAACACACAATGTATTTCAAAATCTTAGAATAAAAAGGAACCTATAACATTGTGTGAAATGATATTTGAATATATCAAGTTAAATGAAACATATTAAGATCAATTTTACCTTTTTCTTTTTCATCTTTTAAAAATATGGCTACTAGAAAATATAAAATTACTTATATGGTTTATATTGTTTTCCTATACAGCTCTGCTGTAGACCATAAAATTAGCCTTTAAAGTGACCACAGTTTTTAATTTATATACTCAGCACCTAAGCTTTAGCAATTAGCTAATGATCAGCATGTATTTGATGTTGATTGACATAGTTTCAGATGTTGCTTGAATTGCTTAAGTCACAAAGTAAGACAGGAAAGATAGGATTGAAATCCAGAGTCTGATTTATCCTGCAATTTTTTTTTACCACAAATCAATTTATTCCAGTGTGTGGCACCTTGTTTTCTAAGCTATATATGACTTCAAATTGAATTATTGTTTCTGTTAAAATGGTTGGTCACCTCAAAAAAAACCAGTCTTGCAACTCAAAATAATTCCCATTTTATGTACAGCTTAGCTAGGATCTACATTGTTAAGTATGCTAGAGGGATTTGATACTTAATGTGTCTAAGGACAAGGAAATAGAAATATAAACGAATTATAGCCACTTTAGTGTTCTTTCTGACTCATAGTATAAAGATAATGAGGCTATATTATCTGATTTCTTGGTACTTCTGGAGTCCTACATTATATGCTGAAAGAAAGGACACACTACTTGGAATATTTTCCTAAATGGACATCATACTTATTACACTTGTATTTTTTAATAGACTTCATTTTTAGCAGTTTTAAGTTTAGAGAGAAAAATAAGTGAAAAGTACAGAATGTTTCTTTATCCAAAGTTTACCCCCATCACCATTCCCCCAGTTTCCCTTATTAACATATTATAAGCCACAAGAACTGTAATAAATTTCTGTTCTGTACAAATTACTCAGTGTAAGATATTACTATGATACCACCTTATAATGTTTTCCTTTCATATACTGTGCCTTTGGTCCTTTGGTATTGTATTTGCAATGACATCACCAAACTCAGGCTCATCTAGATTTTTTTCCTGTTGTCTTCCAGGAGTTTTATAATTTTGCATTTTAAATTTAGGTCTGTGATCCATTTTGAATTAATCTTCGTGAAAAATGTAAGATCTGTGTCCAGACTTGCTTTTTTCTTTTTATTTCTTTTTTTTTGCAAGCGGATGTCCAATTGTTCCAGTATCATTTATTGAAAAACAATCTTTTCTCCATTTACTTGCCTTACTGTTTCTCTGGAGAGAGAAGGTGAAGGTCCAAGGGCCATGTAGAGCAGAGAAAAGACTGCAGATTTAAAGACTTCTTGAGGCTGCAAAACTGGCAAATGCAAGTAGGTTATCTCAAGATATGGAATAGAACTGAAACGTTCAACTTGAGTTCTTGCACTGGAATCCCAAATGGGCAAGTACCAGTAGTCTGAATGGGTCTTAGCGGGTGGTGAAAATTATTACCAATTCATATTATATAGTGACTACTTCTCCCTCATTTGTACTTGCATGGAGATGAGATTAGGGAGGACTCCTTCAGATGACTCCAGAGATGAGTCTTTGATTGCTTATGTATTCTACATATGCCCACTGAAACAAAGGCCAGCATATAGTCTTCAGCTTTCTAGTGATGATCAACAAGGAAGCTGGTAATCCACTCCCACCACTAGTCCAAGGAAAAGAGAGGGATAGAGAAAGAACTCAATAGGTTGAGAAAAAGAGGAAAAACAAAATAATTAGAGCAGGTTGCTTATATTAAGTAAAAACAGATGGAATGTAAGAAGAAGAAAACATTAAAAATCATGGAAAAATACTTCAATGTGATGTAATTAGAGCTCAAAATAAACTTTCTGAAACTAAATGTCAGGATTTCTAAAATAGAGTTATTTAATAAAACAAAAATACAGTGGTGACTGTGGAAAGTTAATTATGAAACAAAAAGTATATAAACGTGAAATAATGAGAGAAAACTGGGGGAAATATATTCATGAACATATAAGTAATAAGCAAATACTTTGCAAATTATAGTTAAAGAAAAAAGGAAATAAACAGATGGGGGAGAATTAAGAATCGGTGAAGTAATAGAAGTAAGCATTCCTTGAGGGCTTGAGTGTTCAAATTCAAGATATCATGAAGCTCCTAGAGAGATTAATGGAAAAAGAAAATCACTTTGATATAGCATAGGAAAAATTACTTAAATTGAGAGTAAATCTTACAAGCTTTCAAACAAACAAATTACTTCTAAAGGAAAGAGAATAGACTCTATTTAAGAAAAATCCAAAGAGGAATATTTTAACCTCACAGAAATTAGAAATAATAGATCTCATCTCAAGCTAGGTAAAGAAAAAGAGTTGTAAAATAATATTAGACAACAGATTATTAATATAAATGGGTGTTGAGTGACAGTTGGAATCATAGCATTCATATCAAGCAAGTTTCTTTGAATTTGGAGAGCTATACTGTAATGAACAACCTGGAAATTATCAGATGAAAGAGGTGCGGGGTGATTCCATGGGATTGTGTGAGGGGAGTAGAGATGGTGTAAAAGTACCATAAGAATCTGTTCTTTATGTCTGTGCAAGGAGAAACCTATGAACTCTTGGTGAGAGTGCTTTAATTTTTTTTTAAATAGAAGCATATGCAACTGGCTATGACAACTACAGATTAGAAGAAAAATACTAGTGACTTTTTACTTAGAAAAAGAACAGGTATTCCTCTCTTACCACTTTCAAAACAGTATATGCTCTTTGGTTACAACTAAAGCTGTAAATTAAGTTTTCAAAAATTAGAAACTTTACAACCTAGATTCATATGCCATAACATAGTGAATCCAAAAAAGTTACTATATATCCATTATAAAATCCCTCAGAGGCTCAAACTTGTTATTGTCTTGAGCTTCTCACTTATATTTTTCCTCCTTTGAACACCAAATATTTTAATGTTATTTACAACATTTGGATACTTTTTATTACTACTGTGCTTCATGTTTTAAAATTAGGGTTAGCCACTAAATTGTATCCAATATGTTTAATTGTATGCATTGATTTGATTTGATTATTTCTTCTTTGATTTAGTGATTTTCTTCTTAGTTCCGTTTATCCTTTTTGTAAATTTGGAAGTTCTGTTTTACATGTCCATTTATAACTCAAAGTTAGCAAATGAAAGAAAACAAACAAGAAGATTGTGTAATTTTGAGATATAAAGTAATGTCAGATCCAGACAATTCCTTGAAGATAATTCACATCTTAAGGAATGAAAGAAGTTAATCAGTTCCTAGTATCTTCTTACCAAGCCTGCTGCACAATCTACTAAAGAATGATTTGATTTTCCCACCTGAACCGCTTCGATGTCTCTACTGTTTTGGTCTTTTCATAACTCACTGGCTTGCTCCTTTGAAGCTGTCTGCCTCACTTAAATAATTCCTGATGTGATCATTTCATTCCTGGTTCTTTCCCATCCTGAGATTTTATTCTTCCCACTCCAATTTTGCTCCCAGGTTTTTGTCACTTGCCCCAAGGTCCGGGAACTGATTTTACTTAACCTTCCTGTGGTTCTCTGGCATTCAATTTCTTTCTGCTGTTTCTTGAACAAAATGTTCTTACCAATACGGGACAACAATTGAAGGATTCTTTATTTGATAATCTTGCTCTCACTAATGACAGATATCATCATGCAATTTATGGTTTGAAGAAGATAGAATTAGTTGAAAAACTGCAGCAGATGTTATTTATAACATTAAGAATAAAATACAATATATTATTTTTGAGCCGATAAATCTCACAATGAAGATGTAGAGGAGCAATTGAAACTCAATGTTGTGCTTGTCTTTAGAACCTGAATATGCAAAGCACATGCCTTATTAGATTAGATTTTGATCTTTTTTTCCTACTTGTATTTAAGGAGATTGAGTTTTTCTGTGTTAAGTGCATCATCTTTGTTTTCAAATAGTTTGTCTTTCATTCACTGGTACCAATAGGCAGGAAGTTGAAGTTACTATCATTACTCAAAATCCACGACTTGGCAAATGTTGTCTTTGTTAAATTGCGTGGGTTAGACGTTTTCTGAGCTGTAACCTTCATCCTGTTCAACTGAGTTGATTAAAACAAGTTGTGTGAAAATTAAATGCAAGAAATATTTAATAATGAAAAGACAATGATAGAAAATGGACAACCTTTAGAATTTTAAATGTAAGGATTGTTTAAACAGTACATAGTTCATATTTCTCTAAGGGTTGAATTTTTTCAGCACAATAGGCACATGTTTCCAAAGAAGATGATTACATCTCATATTATCTTTAAACAGAAAAACATGTTTCTTTTCCTTATCTCTTTTTATATCATTGTGGATATTTGTATTAGTAATTAAATAAAATCATATGACATTCAGTTAAGCTATGACAGGCCATCAGTTCTTTTAAAATATGTCTCTATGCATTTTTTTAACTTTGCTATGAGAATTGAAAAAATTATTTAATACATTGGAAAATTGCTTCACTAAATGTTAGTTACTAAAATCTAGAAGTGTTAAATGTCTGAGATGCTCTTTAAGTTTTAGATAGTGGCTGAGGCAGCAGGGGAAATCTGCTGAACTAATTGCTTTTCTCTCTTTATATCTCTAACTAAATCTCTACTCAGATTTTTCTTTGTGATATTGGCCTGTGGTCAGCATATACCACTTGGCCAAAAACACATTGTGGCTTAGGCAATTGCTTATCTTCTCTGATTCTCAGTTTCTTCTTATAGAAAGGATGGATTTGGGTAAGATCTCCAGGGTACCTTCTGACTCTTAACATTTTCAGACTCTTAGACTCATTGACTCTCATCTCATTCCTGCGTTAGCCCTGGGGATATCCTCTGGTGCATGTTTGCACTTCCTCTTCCTGTCATCTCTTGGTGAATTCTCAGATAATACAGATATTGTTAGTGTCAGCCTGGCTATGATACAAAAAGCACAAGGACATAATCACTAGGAGAAATTTTGTGTAATAACACTAAGCTTTGTATAGCTCATACACTGTATACTCAGTTTAAAATGTTAATTTATTGAAAGAAAATGAAGATGTGTGTAATGAAAAATAACAATTATGAATTAAACAAGATAAAGAAGCACCCTTGTTTTATTTGCAGAAGTATATTTCAAAGAAATCTGTATCACTTCAGTTATATGCAATGAAGTTATTCCCCATTCTCACTCTTAGTCCATATAAACACTATTGTGATGTTTATTAAATATGGCATTATTTTCAAATTAGAAAATGTAGTGTACTTAATGTTTTCTTTGTTGCTTTTCAGTGGAAAACAAATTGCTGAAGCAGCAGATTTAGTTTAGGTGCCTTTCTTCCTAAAATCTTCCACAGAAAAAGATCCACAACACTTCGATTCCAACACAAATACTTTGCAGTCTTCCTAAAAGCATTCACTTTGTTATTCTTCTCTATTTTTCATAAAATTATTAAGCCATTCAAACATTCAGAGTCCAATGACTATGGTAATGATTTAAAAAGATAGGTTATTTTATTATCAATAACATAACATATTTGAATATACAAAGGGCACGTAAAACATAGCAGAATTTTATCTAAGTTTCTGTGCTTTGGAATAAAAAAACAGCTTTTTAATCAAATTCTCTCTTAACTACATATTGCCAACAAATAGAAAAATATTTGCTTAAAAAGCAGACAAAATACAAACATACGGCATTTGTATTCTTTAAAAGTCTCAAGGAGCTTTGATTTTTCTCATTGGGTAAATAGTACAAAAATATTTTAAAATATAGTCAGTTTGCTAAAATAAAATTATGTTAGTTAATAAGTTCCTTTGCTTTCATCACAACATCATCTCCATTTCCTTCACCAAATAATGCATAACTGACTATATTTTCTTCCAGGATGGCACTTTTTTATTGAAGTCATGCATTGGCCAGCATTTTAACCCAATAACCTAAGCTGAGAACAGAGCATGGCCTATAGCATTAAGTGAACTTTATTTAAATACTGATTCTTCTTCTCGATAGTGTGACCTTGGTAAATTACATTAAATTCTATGGATTCCATTTCCTCCTCTTTAAAATTGAAGATCTACTTGAGAGTTGATGAGAACTGCATATTCTGAAATGCTTTTAAACTACAAAGAGCTATGCAAAGGGTAGGATTCTTCAGTGAGAAAATGGAAAATGAAATGTTATCCACATCATATTTTCCTAAATAAACTCAAGCCCATGTCTGGAACTAGATCCAGGTCTGGGTTAAAATCCAATTTCTGACATTCATTCCTTAAGTCAACACAAGCAAATTACAGTATCAGCTTTCGCAGCTATCTAATGGGGATTAAAACAATGCCATCATCATGGACTTATAAAGATTAAATGAGAAAGTGTAAGTTAAGCATCTGTCTTAGTGCTTGGCATTAGTATGTGTCCTATCAGCCTCATTAACTAGGATGTAAAGAGGAATATTGTGTGTATGAGGCCTCTTCTGTATACAGCAATGTTGTAAATTGATAATAGATATACATGCTGTAACACTGGAGAGTGCAATACTCAATCTTCCCCACCACAGGGAATTACATAACATTATACCCAGTTGTTTAGATAAACTAACAAGCAAAAATATAAGCACATTATTTGATTTTTCTCTTTACTCTCCACCGTCATCCCCCATCTCATCTATCCAGACATTCTTTCTGATTTATGAACAAATTGTATTTTCAGTTGTTATGTCTTTGTTTACTTCTATGCTACCACTCTAAAGAAGCCACCATCAATGTTTTTAATAAGCTAATAGTCTCCAAAGTAAATGTATTAATCATCTTTGTTTTTCACCCAAATATATTCTGCTTTGAGTAGCCACAGTTACCTTTGTCAGGAAGTTATTGCCTAAATGTAGAATGAAACAAAAACTCTTTGCTGTGTTCTAGAGTTCTCTTTTATTGTAGCTCCTGTCTATATCTCTAAGGTCAATTTAACCCCCCACCCACCTTCTTCATTAAGTCCTTGCAATAATAGTGCACTTGAGGGCTGTTGCACTTGATAGCCTCCTTGTTCGAATCATTTTCCCATAATCTCATGCCTCCTCCTGCCTGACTGGCTCCTTCTCATATTTTGTATGTCCACACCAGTGTGACTTTCTCAAACAAGCTGTCCCTGAGCACTCCCATAAAAGCAGCTTTTGATGTGCTGCTTTTATGGGAGAGCTCCCTCATGTTATCCTGCTTAAATCCTCCACTGAATTTATCTGTTTACCACAATCTTTTTATTTATCTCTATGAATGTTTCTGATCTGTTCTTGCTTGTCTCCCTAACTCCCAGAATTTCATTTAAATGAGAACAGGGTGTTTACTCTATGTTCAGAACTATAGCTGTAGCCTATTTTTTTTTTAAAGGAGCTTATTATTAATATATGCTCATTAAATACATGTTTAATGATTAATGAATTGAATTAATGCATTAATTCAATAATAAAATTCACAAAATGCAGTCTATGTTTTTCTCTAAATAGTCAGTTGTCTCTTGTTAAGCTACTGGATTTGAGCTGGGCCTAAGGTTTTAAATACCTAATACAGATGCCACTTCTGTAAGGTTCTAATTAATTGGAGATGAAATCAGTTACTTTCTCCTCTACTTCCAAAGCAATAGTATGTCTTTCCTCATGTTATATAACAGTTCATCATTGCATAGCTACTTTGCAGAGTATCTTTCTCCAACTAGATTACTGACAATGTACAGACAGCGAGTATATATTTTCATCTCTTTATGTCTATCACCTGGGCCTAGTGAATGCTTAATAAATGTATGCTGAATTAAATTGAATTATTGCCATGATTCATGTGAACTGCAGTCAAAATAGTTCAGAAAAAATGCAGAGGGAAAACTGGCCACTTAAGTAGCTCATGTCTCCATGGAGTGTTCCAATCAGCTCCAGCTTCAGGCCCGTCAGGAATTGCACACTAATTCTAGCCAAAGAAAAAAATCTGGACCAGAAGATGCCCGGAAATTCATTTGATCCCTTCATGTAAATTGTGCCTTAAATAGAATATCAGATTCACTATGAAATCAAGAAAACTGGAAATTTAGCAAAGTTGAATGAAAGTTTTAGGTTTTATTCAGAAGTGTGATGTCAAATGGATATAACTTACAAAGTGTTTTTCTTCATTTTTTTCCCTTTATAAGTGGCACAGAAAATTTGTTTTTACTTATGTTTTTGCATCCAGAGTATCAGTAATACTCAAGAATAAATACAGTCTTTTGAAGTGTGTGGCAAATCTGAGTCTAGAATTAGATTTGAAATGGAAAATGACATATTTTCTTTCTTTTTTTTTTTCTTTTTCTTTTTTTTTTTTTTTTTGAGAGGGAGTTTCACTCTTGTTGCCCAGGCTGGAGTACAATGGCGTGATCTTGGCTCACCACAACCTCTACCTCCTGGGTTCAAGCAATTCTCCTGCCTCAGCCTGCTGTGTAGCTGGCATTACAGGCATGTGTCACCATGCCTGCCTAATTTTGTATTTTTAATAGAGACAGGGTCTCCATTTTGGTCAGGCTGGTCTCAAACTCCTGACCTCAGGTGATCCACCCACTTCAGCCTCCCAAAGTGCTGGGATTACAGGCATGAGCCACTGTGCCTAGCCAACATATTGTCTTAAAAGTAGTCTCTTCCACTATTTTGGAAATCTAAGTGTCACCTCTAAAATGTATTGGTTCGAGGAATAAGATTCACTACAACCATACTGAGATATGTTTTTACCATATATATCTATGTCATCTCTTTGACAGTTTTTACCATTTCCAGGAGATAAAACTCCTACACATATATTATTAGAAATTATAAAAAGTAATTGTAGCATCCTTAATAGGTACAATTCTAATTATTTTCTTTTTTATGCAATGGTAAAGACTACTTAAAATAAATTTTTTGAATGACAGATTATTTGCCCCTTCCTGTAGCTATTTCAGATAATGAGATTATTAAGTAGTTTTTTGAATGTTTTTAAAATGTAATATTTTCTTTGACTTCAGACACTATTTCAAAAATCAAAAATTTGAGAAAATACACATATGCTGGGATGGTTCTTTTAGGAAATGATAATGTTATAGTTAATGTTGAAAAATATGCTGTCTGAGTGTGAAGGAATAATAATGTTTAACGTAAAGCCAACTATTCAAAATAACAACTTAAAGGTGAAAGCTTTTTGTTGATAAGACCAACTCTTGATATAGCCGTAACTTAAGACAGTTCTTTCTTTTAAATTTTCCTCAGGTTATTCTGTCTCTCAGACCAAGCATCACTTTATTCAACATTTTTCTAAGTATGTTCTGTAGACCAAAAATTCTGTAGGATTTTCCGTGAAAAAGGTTTACATGGTTCAGTAGATTTGGGAAGCCATACGTTGCATATCACCCCCTTGAGAATTTACATGCACAAGGTAATCTAAAGCCTCTCCAGCATCCAAAAGTAATGTTTAGCATAGAATTTTTAAAACTCATTTGACCACAGTACTATCTTATTGTGACATCTGTTAAAAGTCATAGAAACAGTCTTCTTCGGTCCTTGCCTTGTCATAATAGCTATGAATATTATATGAATTAAGATTTTTGCTGGCTATAATCAATTTTCGTGGCACTTGTTCTTAATAAATCGGATTCACTGCCGCCTCATAAAATGGGAATTGGCAGTTCTTGTAGACTTCTAAGTACACATACAATGTCTTTCTTATTTATATATAAACATATGTCTCTATATGTTTTTAGCAAGGTGATACACATAAAATAAATTCAAGATATTTCAGAGTATTCATTGTCCATTTTAAATTTGTATTTGACAAATTGGTGTGCCTGAACAGAGCTAGAAATTTAAAGTGAAAATTAGAAATAAATTCAATTCGATAAGGATAAACAAACATTGACCTAAAGCCATGAAGAGCATGAGGAACAATGTAAAGGTAGAGGCTGCCCATGATAGTTGCTGATAAGTTCTGTTTTTCATTAATGTAAAGAAAGGCACAGAATTGTAAACATGCTCTCAGATCATTCAACAAAGATGAGCAATTGAACAAGCCTTTCTGCAAGCTTGCATCACATCTGCCCATCTGGTCCCACAAGCTCTGGTTTCTGTGTTTCTTTGAATAAACTGAACACAATCTTATCAAAATTGTGATCTAAAGCCCATTTTCTCTCACCTTTTCAAACTATCATTACGTCATCTCTCTTCAGCAACATCAATTTTTCTTTCTCTTCTGCAACATCCCTAGGATTGCTGTTATTACTCCCATCTTAAAAAAAAAAAGAAAAAAAAAGAGAGAGAGAGAGAGACAATGAGAGAGAAAAACAACCAAATTGAAAAAAGAATAGTCCCTTGATCCAACATTCCTCTTTAGTTTCTGGTCTACTTTTCTGCTTCCCTCAGACAAAGAACAAAAACAAAACAAACAAAAAAACACTAGAAAGAGCTATTTGTAGGAGTTGTTGTTCTTTTCATTTTTCCTTCCCTAATTCATTTTCAGAACCCACAAAATTTAAGCTTCCTCCTCACTATCATCAAAGTCACCAGTGACTTCCATATTATTTACCTCAGTACAGCCCATTGGCCCCTCTGGAAGCCCTCAGCACTTGTTTCCTATAACCTTCCTTCCCTATCCTCTTCTCCTCCAGTTGTATTGGTCCTTTGCTGGTCCTCAAACATGCCAAGCCTCCTCCCTTCTCGGGGCATTTGCAGTTGGTGTACCCTCTGCCTCACACTCTCTTCTTCAGGTATTCTGAGCCCACCCTCCCACTTTCTTTAGGTTTCTGGATCAAATATCACCTTATTAGTAAGACTCCCCTTTACCACTTACATAAATGAAGCACCATGCACTTTGGCACTTCCTATTATTCTGTCCTCTGATTTTTCTCAGCAACATTTATCAATTGAATAAATAAATATTAAATAGCTGTTCATTTGCTTTTGTCTCTCTCATGCACTTTACATCTATAAGGTGAGTTGGGCTTGGCAGATATTTTGTTACCGTGTTCTTAGCTACTGTCCAATTGTGAAATAGAGCCTAACATGCAGTAGGAACTTATTGCATGTTTGCTGATTAGATGAACATGAGCAGATATCAAGTGCTTGGTATGTATAGAACATGTTGAGCATTAAATAACTAAATTATTAGTAAGATACAGGTCTACTGATCTTTGTAATAGTGCTAAAATGGCTAAAAGTACCAGGAAGACTTCTTCATGGATGGCTTTGAACTACTTCTAAAAGTTTGGTAGGATGTCTACACATGGAGATTGTGGGGAATTTCAAGCACATAATAAGCAAAGAACCAAGGTAGGAAAGTATTGAGGAAATAATGGCTGATGTATTTTTTCTAAAGCAAGGGGTAGGATGATTAGGAAAGAAAAGAAGCAGGTAGAATATATTGGGGGAAAAGTAGCCCAAATAACAAATTATATTTATGTATGTATGTATATTTATTTATTTATATATATATATATATATATATGTGCATATGTATGCATGTATGTGTGTATATATATGTATGTGTATATATATATCCTGCTGTAGCATATGATCTTCAAAGATAAAGGTCTCTACTTATTTACATTTCTACTTAAGATTATTCCTTCTACCTGGTAGGCATTCAGTAAAATGTTGGTGCATGCTATGGTTTGAATGTGCCCCCCAAATTTCAAATGTATGTTGGAAATGTAATCCCCAGTGTGTCAGTATTGAAAGGCCTTTAAGGGGTGATTGTATCATGAGGACTTTGCCAAGCATGTAGAATAGCAAGCAGAACGGGCATTCATGAGGTGATGTTTAGAAAACCAAAATGTAATTGATTAATAGATTAATGGATTATCATGGGAGCGGAACTGGTTGCTTTATAAGTCAAGGAAGAGAGAATTGAGCAATCACATTAATGTATTCAGGCAGACCCTTTGCCGTGGGAGGCTCTGAGCTTTCCTGGGACTCTGCAGAGAGTCCCCATGAACAAGGAGGCTTTCATAAGATGTGCCTCCTCAAACTTGGCCTTCTCAGCCTTCATAACTATAAGAAATCCATTCTTTTTCTTTAGAAATTATCCAGTTTATAATTATCCAGAAAACAGGTTGAAACAGTGCATTAATAATGGAAGGCAACTTTAGGAGTAAACATACCAAGCTAAAATATTTTTTGTTTTTTATTATACTTTAAGTTTTAGGGTACATGTGCACAATATGCAGGTTTGTTACATATGTATACATGTGCCATGTTGCTGTGCTGCACCCATTAACTCGTCATTTACATTAGGTATATCTCCTAATGCTATCCCTCCCCTCTCCCCCTACACCACAGCAGGCCCCGGTGTGTGATGTTCCCCTTCCTGTGTCCAAGTGTTCTCATTGTTCAATTCCCGCCTATGAGTAAGAACACGCGGTGTTTGGTTTTTTTCCTTGAGATAGTTTGCTGAGAATGATGGTTTCCAGCTTCATCCACGTCCCTACAAAGGACATGAACCCATCCTTTTTATGGCTGCATAGTATTCCATGGTGTATATGTGCCACATTTTCTTAATCCAGTCTATCATTGTTGGACATTTGGGTTGGTTCCAAGTCTTTGCTATTGTGAATACTGCCACAATAAACATACGTGTGCATGTGTCTTTATAGCAGCATGATTTATAGTCCTTTGGGTATATACCCAGTAATGGGATGGCTGGGTCAAATGGTATTTCTAGTTCTAGATCCCTGAGGAATCGCCACACTGACTTCCACAATGGTTGAACTAGTTTACAGTCCCACCAACAGTGTAAAAGTGTTCCTATTTCTCCACATCCTCTCCAGCACCTGTTGTTTCCTGACTTTTTAATGATTGCCATTCTAACTGGTGTGAGATGGTATCTCATTGTGGTTTTGATTTGTGTTTCTCTGATGGCCAGTGATGGTGAGCATTTTTTCATGTGTCTTTTGGCTGCATAAATGTCTTCTTTTGAGAAGTGTCTATTCATATCCTTTGCCCACTTTTTCATGGGGTTGTTTGTTTTTTTCTTGTAAATTTGAGTTCTTTGTAGATTCTGGATATTAGCCCTTTGTCAGATGAGTAGATTGCAAAAATTTTCTCCCATGTTGTAGGTTGCCTGTTCACTCTGACGGTAGTTTCTTTTGCTGTGCAGAAGCTCTTTAGTTTAATTAGATCCCATTTGTCAATTTTGGCCTTTGTTGCCATTGCTTTTGGTGTTTTAGACACGAAGTCCTTGCCCATGCCTATGTCCTGAATGGTATTACCTAGGTTTTCTTCCAGGGTTTTTATGGGTTTAGGTCTGACATTTAAGTCTTTAATCCATCTTGAATTAATTTTTGTATAAGGTGTAAGGAAGGGATCCAGTTTCAGCTTTCTACATATGGCTAGCCAGTTTTCCCAGCACCATTTATTAAATAGGGAATCCTTTCCCCATTTCTTGTTTTTGTCAGGTTTGTCAAAGATCAGATAGTTGTAGATGTATGGCATTATTTCTGAGGGCTCTGTTCTGTTCCATTGATCTATATCTCTGTTTTGGTACCAGTACCATGCTGTTTTCATTACTGTAGCCTTGTAGCATAGTTTGAAGTCAGGTAGGGTGATGCCTCCAGCTTTGTTCTTTTGGCTTAGGATTGACTTGGCGATGCAGGCTCTTTTTTGGTTCCACATGAACTTTAAAGTAGTTTTTTTTTTCAATTCTGTGAAGAAAGTCATTGCTAGCTTGATAGGGATGGCATTGAATCTCTAAATTACCTAGGGCAGTATGGCCATTTTCACGATATTGATTCTTCCTATCCATGAGCATGAAATGTTCTTCCATTTACTTGTATCCTCTTTTATTTCATTGAGCAGTGGTTTGTAGTTCTCCTTGAAGAGGTCCTTCACATCCCTTGTAAGTTGGATTCCTAGGTATTTTATTCTCTTTGAAGCAATTGTGAATGGGAGTTCACTCATGATTTGGCTCTCTGTTTGTCTGTTATTGGTGTATTAGAATGCTTGTGATTTTTGCACATTGATTTTGTATCCTGAGACTTTGCTGAAGTTGCCTAGCAGCTTAAGGAGATTTTGGGCTGAGACGATGGGGTTTTCTAGATATACAATCATGTCATCTGCAAATGGGGACAATTTGACTTCCTCTTTTCCTAATTGAATACCCTTTATTTCTTTCTCCTGCCTGATTGCCCTGGCCAGAACTTCCAACACTATGTTGAATAGGAGTGGTGAGAGACGGCATCTCTGTCTTGTGCCAGTTTTCAAAGAGAATGCTTCCAGTTTTTGTCCATTCAGTATGATATTGGCTGTGGGTTTCTCATAAATAGCTCTTATTATTTTGATATTCGTCCCATCAATACCTAATTTATTGAGAGTTTTTAACATGAAGGCTGTTGAATTTTGTCAAAGGCCTTTTCTGCATCTATCGAGATAATCATGTGGTTTTTGTCTTTGGTTCTGTTTATATGCTGGATTACGTTTATTGATTTGCATATGTTGAACCAGCCTTGCACTGTCCTTTAAGGAGAGAGCTTTAAACAGAGGAGAAACATGATCTAATTTGCAGTTGATAAATATCCCTGGCCTCAGTGCAGTGAGTAAAATGGTGGCAGCGGTGGAGTGGCAGGGAGGATCCAAAGAATTGGGAAGGGAATTGCAACAAACCAAAAACCCAGGAAAGAGATTAGGGTCATCTCCTCTAGATTACTGGCAGTGAGATAGAAAGTAGACAGAGAGGTTTCAAAAGTAAGTTCACTGGATTTGGTAATTGCTTAGATGTGAGAATGGAGAAGAATGATGCAATAGCATTTAGCCTTCTGGTTTGGAAAAAAAAAATATGTACATAGAGCTGAAATCTACAAGATAGGGAAAGTGAGAGCAGGAGTATATCTGAGAGAAAAAGTAATGAGATTCCTTTGGATATGTGGCATGAAGGATGTTTATAACCATTCAATAGAAGGTAATCACTGGACTGGTATAAGAGCGATTTGGAACTGAGGAAAGAGATCAAGGCTGAAGATTATGGAATTGATATAATTTAAATAGTTATGTAGGTCTTAGCAGGAGATGAGACTGACTTTAGGAAGACTATACAGGAAAAAAAAAAAAACCAGAACATGAGATAGAACCCTAAGAATACAAAGGTATCAGGAGCACACAGAGGTATCTAAAAAGAAACTGCCAAGGAGATAGGATAATGAGCAAAACTGGGATCCATAAGGTGATGTTTAGAAACTGAAAGTAATAAAGATATTGAAGGAATCAATTAAAGTGATGAAATAACGCTAATTGAAAATTTATGGCAGCATAATTATAGCAGTGGGTGATGGGAGTGAGGAATTATCTAGGGAAGAGAATAAGCCTAATTCTGACTATAGCAAACCTTTGAGTTAGATGAAAATATAGTGTAAGTTTATATAGATATATAGCTATACTAAAAGATGGCCAGATGGATAGATAGGTAGACAGAGATACCCATTCCACTGTATGTCCTCATACATGTTGATGACTTTATAACTGTGTTTACCACTGCCTCATTTTGTACTGCAAGTTACCTGAGACTTGCCTTCTCTAGTCCTTATTGTGTCCTCTGATGTGTAATAATAATTCATATCAATAACTGTAAAATTATAAAAAATTTTGAGTGATAATATATTGAAATATTTAGAATGCTTTATTTGTTTAAAACATTTTGACATTTGGGATTCATTTTCAAATTTTAGCCCAAAATTTCATATTTTGGTTATATACATGGGAAAATTTGTATAAAGCAATTCAGAACTTTGTTAGTTCAATATAAACACAATTTGGGTCTTTTTACTTTTTGGAAATTTTCTAAATGATGATTCATGCTTTGAGATGCTCATAGCAAAAAAACACAAATTCTTTGTATTTTAGCATCACTGATACTTCCAACACACTGGGTGCATTTCTACAGCACACCTGGCACTTTTGAAAATGTTACATCACATCTAAACAATTTTTTTGAATTCCATTCCTATGGAATCACTGGTACAGAAGGTCCCTTGGTAAAGCTTAGTTCTGAAATAATTGCATGTTTCTTTTCCTCATAATTTGGACTCCCATGTTTTATAGATACTTGGCATTGTTCTGAAACCTTCCCTCCAGCCAGCTTGCTACTCCAGATGGCATTGCCTTTCTGAACAAGCTGAGTCCTCTGGTCATTAGGGTAAAATAGCATTTACTTATAAGTCCTTGTCTAGTCTTGCTTACCACTATTATTCACTTCATTGATCATGAATATAAGGTTCTTAGCTCTTGGTATTCCAGAATAGTAATAGGCAATTCTAAAATTCTCCAGGCTAATTATTTAACAAGTAAAATACTAATCATTTTTTTCAAAATTTCGAAACTAATAAATTTTCAAAATCACATTAGTTTCATCTCTACATGGATTCTGTAAATGTCAAGTTAAACATAAAATTCACTTTCTATGTAGCTTTCACTAAGTCATTTCTTATATTATTGGATAACATGATTTATTCTTTTTCCTTTTTATGGAATTGTATTATCGATAAATTTGAGCTCAAGCATTAAAGGTTTCTAAAGGAAAATTTACTCATGAACACAAGCCTTCAGAAAACACATTTAATCAATTAGCTATATCTAATCAGTTGTTTTTGTGAATCCCACATTCTTGAATATTCATTTTAACCAGTCCAACAAAACCTGTAAGATTGGGCCCCATCCTGTCGTCTAGTCATTCCCTCAAAATGGAGTATTCAGCTGTACATCTAACTTGGTAAGAGCAAAAGAATGAATCCAAGCCAGTAAAGTAGCTTTATAAAAGGTGCTTCAAAGGGATACCTCAATTTTCATTAAAAATTTTAATTATTAAATCATTTCTGGCTTCAGTCTTTCTGCAAAGCCAACCAACTTCAAAATATATCTTGTTCACTACAATTTCAAGTGAGACTTTTCAAGTAATAAGGAAAGGTTTTTGGAAATTTAGAGAATTAACAATATTTTCTTTAGAACCACCTACATCTGTTTCATTTTTAGTTGCATTTTATTCTAAGTGATTCCTGCAGTAAATAATCATGAGCATGATGCATCTTCTCAGTAGTCCCTCTGTAGGTGCCTCTCAATGCAAAGGAATTAATACAGGTTTCTCTGTCTGCCTTCTGTTTGCATAAGATAACACTAATACCCAATGTGTCTATCAAAAACCACAAGATACATTTTGAACTTCATCAGAGTTTACAATATTGTTTAATGACACTTTATGAAGTGGCCTTAACTTCATAGATTTCGTAGATTTTTAAGGACAACACAATATCCTGATGTGGGTAACATTCATGTAAACAAAGGTATTTATCTCTTAACTTTATTGATATCTCAAACTCTCACAAATAGAAGGATTTGGCTCCTTGATTCATTAACATATACAGTCATGCTTTGCTAGGTAACAGGGATACTTTCTGACAAATGCATCATTAGGCAATTTTGTCATGTGTGAGCATTATAGAGTGTACTTACACAAACCTAGGTGATGTAACCTATTGCACACTTAAGTATATGGTATAGCTTATTCCTCCTAGGATGCATACCTATACAGCAAGTTACTACATTACATAGCGCAGGCAATTGTAACACAATGGTATTTGTGTATCTAAACATGGAAAAGGTACAGTAAAGGTACAGTTATACAATCTTATGGGACCACTATCATATATGTGGCCCATTGTTAGCCAAAGCGTCATTATGTGGTGCATGACCATACATGAATTGAATATTCCCCACTGACATATCCATTTTTAGTATTTTTGTAAATTGGCCTAACGGTTATTTGTGCTCTATATGCACAAGGTAAGTTATTTTATCCCCATTTTACAGATGAGGAAATCGTTTTAAAGGACTTAAAGCATTGTCATTGCTTAAGACCAGTGGTATTCTCTTGCATTATTCCTTTAAGCCAGAGATAAAAGAAATTAATAAGAAAAAAAATCAGAGAACAAATCCATAACAGTTTACTTCAGCCAATGAGTGGTTATATTTAGTTTTATCTTGTAGAAAGAGAAGTCATTTTATGTTTTAAGGAGAGAGCATGAGTGAAAACTGTGGAAAATAATAAGCAAGTCACTGGGGGTATGCATTGACCTCCTCCTCTCTCCTTTAGTAAATGAGTCTGAATACTGGTTATGGATTGTATTGATCATATATTAAAATGACAAATTGCCTCCACATTAGCTTGCACACAAGTCTCTTAACGAAACCCATTGTAACTTGTCAGATGCAACCTAAGAATTGAACTAGACATTGATGGACAAGACCTTCCACTGACCATTGAAAACATGTAGATTCTCCCTGATTAAATTGATGCTTCTGACTTTAATGAGCTGCTATTGATTGGGCATTTACTGCTACAATATATTATCATATTGCTGTTCCCAGTGCCATACTTAAGAGGTTATAAGCATTTCTGCTATAAATCCTTTTTAGAAGCTTGTAGCTCAACCAAAATATATGCCAGTGATATCATACATAAGATGTAAAGCCACTTTGACTGCAGATTATTTTCCACAGTTAAAAATTATACATATATATGTACATTTAATAACGTCAGTTTTCTTTGAATAACCCAAACGATGATGGCCTGAGGTAGTCTGTGAATTATATGAATATGCAAAAAAGGGTTCTTGTTGAAAATAAGTTTTAATATGATATGCTTTACTGATCTACCTTATAAGACTACAAGAAACAGGTCTAAAAATGGTGAATGAAAAATAGTATGTTGCCAGTTTGTCCCTGAGTTTAAATCATGGAGTATGAACTCAGTACTTACGGTAGTTTGATATACATCATAATAATTAAAGTAGTAATAATGTAAGACAAAGATTATTTTGGACTAAAAACATGGAGAAACTGACATCTGCATTTTATTTTATTATTATTATTATTATTATTATTATTATTATTATTTTGAGATGGAGTCTCGCTCTGTCACCCAGGCTGGAGTGCAGTGGCATGATCTCGGCTCACTGCAACCTCTGCCTCCCAGGTTAAGCAATTCTCTGCCTCAGCCTCCTGAGTAGCTGGTATTACAGGCGCCCTGCTAATTGTTTGTAATTTTTTTGTAGAGACGGGGTTTCACCATCTTGGCCAGGCTGGTCTTGAACTCCTGACCTTGTGATCCACCTGCCTCGGCCTCCCAAAGTGCTGGGATTACAGGTGTGAGCCACGGCACCTGGCCTGTCATTTTATTCTAAATAATTTTTCTGAAGCCTGAGAACACTTAAACATATACAAATAGTTGTTTTTTGTTTAAAATATAAAGAGCTTACTTTGAAGTACATTTTTATTTAAAATGAATACTCCTTTTTTTAATTGTTAATAGAAATATCCTTTTTCTGCATTACATTTATAAATATGATACAATTTTAAGCACCTCATACATTATTTCTCTGGAGTAGACATTTAATTATTTGCTGAATGCTTTAGTGTATGGATGAAAAGGGATGAATGAATACAAGTTATGAGAATCTTGATTTTATCTTTTCTAATGAAATTGTGAATACCACTTTAATCAAAAGAATATCAGTTTCTGTGTTTAACACTTCAGTTCTGTATCTACTTTTCAGAAACAGTTTTAGAGCACTTGAATCATTGTTTGTAGGTACCATTCAAGATATATTTTGGAGTTCTTGGCCAGACAAGAATACACTGATCTACTCTGGGACTACTCTTACATTCTCAGATATTTTAATGTACTTAGTGGATTTTTAAGTGTCACCAGGAAACCAAAATTAATAACATAGCTTATTTAGACGAAATAGGTAAAATCCAAACAAATTTGGCAGAGTTTGCTTATTGCTTAAAAAGCATATTTTAGCAATTAATTGAGCCATTTTTTCAATATATTATGTATAATATAATGTTTTACATCATTGCTAGGTATTTTTAATATAGGTTGAAGTTTGGTAAATCATGTTGTATTAATGACTACATAAAAGTCACTATATACAATAAACTTTCATTGTTTGTGATTATGAGAAAATAGTTCATCCGGAAAAAAAAGTATGCTATTTTATGTTTCACAATAACTGTAAAATGGCTAGTTATATTGATAGTATTCTGTTTGATTTTTTGATGGAATTAAATGAATATATCATTTAAATGTGATTATTAAGACGATGGAGGTGATTGATTCTGACAAACCTTTTTAATGTTTTTAAAGTATATATGAGTACACATCAATAATAATATGCTTCTGTTGCCTGACACATGGTTTTCCATAACATCTTTCAATTGCATATCTACTATAATTTTAATTCAATAAAATGCAGGAGGTGCATGAATGGAGAGTACAACAATTTGTAGTTATGCTGAAAGACATCTACAGTTCATAGACCCGCTAATTTGTACAATTAAAATTAAAAAGAAAAGACTTATTCAGAGAATGTAGCTTATCTTTGTCATGGTCATGAATGAACAAAATAGGGAGTTGCAAAAAATTAGAGGGCAAACTTCTCTGCACACTAAAATCAATGGGAATGTTATAGTAGAAGTATCTGAACCAAACTGTTTCTCTCCCAGCCAGAGGCTGGTTCACTGAGCTATGCAGCTTGATAACTGCCACCAGTAATGAAGTTGGACTGAATATTTTTCCAGTTCTACCCACAGACAGAAAAGGTAGGCTGAACAAGAATACTCCTAATGGAGCATTTGAATAAGTGTCTGCATAATGATGTTTTCAATTTTTGAATATTTAATATTTTAAGCCTATTTTTCTCACACTGTGTGAGAAGTCATAAAAGGTAGAGTCCTATTAATGCTAATTCCCAAGACTCTAGAAAAAAAAGTTTTCTCGCAATCATTTTGTAAACTGTAAGAAAACTGATTATGTCTTCAATCTGTGATGATACTCTACAGAAATATGCACATTTTTGTCTTGTCTCTCTTGATATTTTATGTAAATTTCATTATATATAAGTGAACTCTATCATTCTGTTTTCCGTTTTGGGGTTAAATCTTCTTAAAATACTATTATTGAAGAGAAAAGACAATGCTGGAAGAGGAAAAGAAAAAAAATGAAAAACAGGGCAGAAAAAGGAGAAAATGAGAGGACAATAAGCCTGAAGAGGCATAAGAAAAAAGAAAATAGATTATGTGCAGCTATCAACTTCTAGTGTACAGAAAAGGAAATTGTCCTTATGAATTATCTCCCGTCTGTACTTCCTTAGAGCTCTCAGCTACTGATTGAATGCCCTACTCCTGGTAGTTACACTATTTTCTACACTTGTATGTTAATAATTCAGGCTCAGAATTTAACCTGTCATCCAAAAGAGGGTTAATTCTTAAATTCAGTTCATTCTGAGTTAAGCACAAACTTCAAAACAATGCAAAGGCTGCGTGGAGAGTCATGTAATTGTATCTTCCCTCTCAGAGACCTGAGCTATTAGCTAACCCATCATGTTTTTTGTTTATAGTCAAGTATGATATGTATGTTTTCTGGCCTTCAAC
Organism: Homo sapiens; assembly: GCF_000001405.40. Taxonomy (NCBI): domain Eukaryota; kingdom Metazoa; phylum Chordata; class Mammalia; order Primates; family Hominidae; genus Homo; species Homo sapiens. Next base: position 92,750,891 of record NC_000013.11, read on the forward strand.
AGTGCTATATCCATAACACTCCCACACTAAAAGCATTTCTATAGAAACAAAAAAGAATGAGGAAAATTGTTATCACGTACATTGTTCTAGGATTTTTATTTTCATCCATTGTTTAAAATAGGCATGCTTGTAGTATAAAACAGCACCTCTAGTGTATAATGAGGCACAAAATGTACTGTTCATGAAAAATTGATATATATAAACCTTTTTACTAAACCATAACACAATTCATCCTTTATTAGAAGTCCAATTTAAGATGTAGACATTTTCTACCAACTGGGAGCTAAGGCTTTCCAAAGACTGAACTAGAGAAAGAAAATTGTTTTTTGCCTGTGACAATGTGTGGAAACATTTGAAAAGGTACCTACGTAAGAACAGTTTTGGAGAAAACCTTTGGTCATCCAGAAACATTTAAAAAAAAAAAAAAAAAAAAAAAAAAAAAAAACCTTCCAACCTCATAAAATCTTATTTTGTTCTAAGTTTCTCCAGTTCTGGAATCTAGAATTAAGATGCACAATTAACTTAAAGAAGCAAGTCTTGGAATGTGCCAGTCCAACAAATGCAGGAAGAATTCTCCAGCTCAAAGCAGAGATGAATGAGTTCATTAGCAGCAGCTGCACTTATACATCAAGTACCTTTCGGTAACACATGAGTCTTGGTCCTTCTAAATTGTGCAGTGGGGAACATCACACACCAGGGCCTGTTGTGGGGTTGGGGGAGGGGGGAGGGATAGCAGTAGAAGATATACCTAATGTAAATGACGAGTTAATGGGTGCAGCACAGCAACATGGCACATGTATACATATGTAACAAACCTGCACGTTGTGCACATGTACCCTAGAACTTAAAGTATAAAAAAAAATAAAAAATAAAAACACTTCAATACTTAGCGTATGAGGGACATGACTTAAAACATTAAGTTTGCAGCCCCATAGTTAAGTCAATCTATGTGTTTCTCCCATTTTCCGTTTTCACAACAGTGGCCAACTAGGTTATTGCCTCAAGATGGTTACATTGTTTCACTTGCGCTGGATCTACTCGTTTTCAGTTACTTTGTTACCTTGTAAAAAAAAGTTTTCATTTGTATCTAATTATGTTATGAATTGAATATAATAGTATCTGTTTTAATTTGCCACTTTGCTTTACAGATTTAAATAAAGAGGAATGAGAACCTTGAAAAAAAAAAAAAGCAAGAACTCTAGAGCAGAGTTTCTCAAACTTGGCATTACCATACTGACATTTCGAAACAAATACGTGGAGTGTGTCCGTGTGTGTGTTAGCATTTGCGTCACAGTGTCCTGTGCTTTGCAGGAAGTTTAGCCCTATCCCTGACTTCTACCAACTAGATGTCATCCACACTGCTTCTCCCACAGTTTTGTGACAATCCAAAGTATCTCCAGACATTGACAAATGATCCCTGGGGGACAAAATGCTCTGGTCCTCTTCAGAACCAATGCTTTAGAGTAAAATTAGCCTAATTTCTGATTTTTCCCATTGCTTGTAGAGACAATGGAAATAGTAATTGCACTAAGTTGATGGAATTGTTGTAAAGGTAAAAAAGAGTGCTAAGAATATTTTCTGGATGGGGGGAGGAGCCAAGATGGCCGAATAGGAATAGCTCCGGTCTACAGCTCCCAGCGTGAGCGACGCAGAAGACGGGTGATTTCTGCATTTCCATCTGAGGTACCGGGTTCATCTCACTAGGGAGTGCCAGACAGTGGGCGCAGGTCAGTGGGTGCGCGCACCGTGCGCGAGCTGAAGCAGGGTGAGGCATTGCCTCATTCGGGAAGCGCAAGGGGTCAGGGAGTTCCCTTTCCTAGTCAAAGAAAGGGGTGACGGAGGGCACCTGGAAAATCGGGTCACTTCCACCCGAATACTGCACTTTTCCAACGGGCTTAAAAAACAGCGCACCACGAGATTATATCCTGCACCTGGCTCGGAGGGACCTACGCCCAGGGAGTCTCGCTGATTGCTAGCACAGCAGTCTGAGATCAAACTGCAAGGCGGCAGTGAGGCTGGGGGAGGGGCGCATACCATTGCCCAGGCTTGCTTAGGCAAACAAAGCAGCCAGGAAGCTCGAACTGGGTGGAGCCCACCACAGCTCAGGGAGGCCTGCCTGCCTCTGTAGGCTCCACCTCTGGGGGCAGGGCACAGACAAACAAAAAGACAGCAGTAACCTCTGCAGACTTAAATGTCCCTCTGACAGCTTTGAAGAGAGCAGTGGTTCTCCCAGCACTCAGCTGGAGATCTGAGAATGGGCAGACTGCCTCCTAAAGTGGGTCCCTGACCCCTGACCCCCGAGCAGCCTAACTGGGAGGCACCCCCCAGCAGGGGCACACTGACACCTCACACGGCAGGGTACTCCAACAGACCTGCAGCTGAGGGTCCTGTCTGTTAGAAGGAAAACAGAAAGGACATCCACACCAAAAACCCATCTGTACATCACCATCATCAAAGACCAAAAGTAGATAAAACCACAAAGATGGGGAAAAAACAGAACAGAAAAACTGGAAACTCTAAAGAGCAGAGCACCTCTCCTCCTCCAAAGGAATGCAGTTCCTCACCAGCAAGGGAACAAAGCTGGACGGAGAATGACTTTGATGAGCTGAGAGAAGAAGGCTTCAGACGATCAAATTACTCTGAGCTATGGGAGGACATTCAAACCAAAGGCAAAGAAGTTGAAAACTTTGAAAAAAATTTAGAAGAATGTATAACTAGAATAACCAATACAAAGAAGTGCTTAAAGGAGCTGATGGAGCTGAAAACCAAGGCTCGAGAACTACGTGAAGAATGCAGAAACCTCAGGAGCCGATGCGATCAACTGGAAGAAAGGTATCAGCAATGGAAGATGAAATGAATGAAATGAAGCGAGAAGGGAAGTTTAGAAAAAAAAAGAATAAAAAGAAATGAGCAAAGCCTCCAAGAAATATGGGACTATGTGAAAAGACCAAATCTACGTCTGATTGGTATACCTGAAAGTGACAGGGAGAATGGAACCAAGTTGGAAAACACTCTGCAGGATATTATCCAGGAGAACTTCCCCAATCTAGCAAGCAGGCCAACGTTCAGATTCAGGAAATACAGAGAACGCCACAAAGATACTCCTCAAGAAGAGCAACTCCAAGACACATAATTGTCAGATTCACCAAAGTTGAAATGAAGGAAAAAATGTTAAAGGCAGCCAGAGAGAAAGGTCGGGTTAACCTCAAATGGAAGCCCGTCAGACTAACAGCGGATCTCTCGGCAGAAACCCTACAAGCCAGAAGAGAGTGGGGGCCAATATTCAACATTCTTAAAGACAAGAATTTTCAACCCAGAATTTCATATCCAGCCAAACTAAGCTTCATAAGTGAAGGAGAAATAAAATATTTTACAGACAAGCAAATGCTGAGAGATTTTCTCACCACCAGGCCTGCCCTAAAAGAGCTCCTGAAGGAAGCGCTAAACATGGAAATGCACAAACGGTACCAACTACTGCAAAATCATGCCAAAATGTAAAGACCATCAAGAATAGGAAGAAACTGCATCAACTAATGAGCGAAATCACCAGCTAACATCATAATGACAGGATCAAATTCACACATAACAATATTAACTTTAAATGTAAATGGACTAAATGCTCCAATTAAAAGACACAAACTGGCAAATTGGATAAAGAGTCAAGACCCAACAGTGTGCTGTATTCAGGAAACCCATCTCACGTGCAGAGACACACATAGGCTCAAAATAAAAGGATGGAGGAAGATCTACCAAGCAAATGGAAAACAAAAAAAGGCAGGGGTTGCAATCCTAGTCTCTGATAAAACAGATTTTAAACCAACAAAGATCAAAAGAGACAAAGAAGGCCATTACATAATGGTAAAGGAATCAATTCAACAAGAAGAGCTAACTATCCTAAATATATATGCACCCAATACAGGAGCACCCAGATTCATAAAGCAAGTCCAGAGTGACCTACAAAGAGACTTAGACTCCCACACATTAATAATGGGAGACTTTAACACCCCACTGTCAACATTAGACAGATCAACGAGACAGAAAGTCAACAAGGATACCCAGGAATTGAACTCAGCTCTGCACCAAGCGGACCTAACACACATCTACAGAACTCTCCACCCCAAATCAACAGAATATACATTTTTTCAGCACCACACCACACCTATTCCAAAACTGACCACATACTTGGAAGTAAAGCTCTCCTCAGCAAATGTAAAAGAACAGAAATTATAACAAACTATCTCTCAGACCACAGTGCAATCAAACTAGAACTCAGGATTAAGAATCTCACTCAAAGCCGCTCAACTACATGGAAACTGAACAACCTGCTCCTGAATGACTACTGGGTACATAACGAAATGAAGGCAGAAATAAAGATGTTCTTTGAAACCAACGAGAACAAAGACACAACATACCAGAATCTCTGGGACGCATTCAAAGCAGTGTGTAGAGGGAAATTTATAGCACTAAATGCCCACAAGAGAAAGCAGGAAAGATCCAAAATTGATACCCTAACATCACAATTAAAAGAACTAGAAAAGCAAGAGCAAACACATTCAAAAGCTAGCAGAAGGCAAGAAATAACTAAAATCAGAGCAGAACTGAAGGCAATGGAGACACAAAAAACCCTTCAAAAAATCAATGAATCCAGGAGCTGGTTTTTTGAAAGGATCAACAAAATAGATAGACTGCTAGCAAGACTAATAAAGAAAAAAAGAGAGAAGAATCAAATAGACACAATAAAAAATGATAAAGGGGATATCACCACCGATCCCACAGAAATACAAACTACCATCAGAGAATACTACAAACACCTCTACGCAAATAAACTAGAAAATCTAGAAGAAATGGATAAATTCCTCGACACATACACTCTCCCAAGACTAAACCAGGAAGAAGTTGAATCTCTGAATAGACCAATAACAGGATCTGAAATTGTGGCAATAATCAATAGCTTACCAACCAAAAAGAGTCCAGGACCAGATGGATTCACAGCCGAATTCTACCAGAGGTACAAGGAGGAACTGGTACCATTCCTTCTGAAACTATTCCAATCAATAGGAAAAGAGGGAATCCTCCCTAACTCATTTTATGAGGCCAGCATCATTCTGATACCAAAGCCTGGCAGAGACACAACCAAAAAAGAGAGTTTTAGACCAATATCCTTGATGAACATTGATGCAAAAATCCTCAATAAAATACTGGCAAAACGAATCCAGCAGCACATCAAAAAGCTTATCCACCATGATCAAGTGGGCTTCATCCCTGGGATGCAAGGCTGGTTCATTATATGCAAATCAATAAATGTAATCCAGCATATAAACAGAGCCAAAGACAAAAACCACATGATTATCTCAATAGATGCAGAAAAGGCCTTTGACAAAATTCAACAACCCTTCATGCTAAAAACTCTCAATAAATTAGGTATTGATGGGACATATTTAAAAATAATAAGAGCTATCTATGACAAACCCACAGCCAATATCATACTGAATGGACAAAAACTGGAAGCATTCCCTTTGAAAACTGGCACAAGACAGGGATGCCCTCTCTCACCACTCCTATTCAACATAGTGTTGGAAGTTCTGGCCAGGGCAATCAGGCAGGAGAATGAAATAAAGGGTATTCAATTAGGAAAACAGGAAGTCAAATTGTCCCTGTTTGCAGACGACATGATTGTATATCTAGAAAACCCCATTGTCTCAGCCCAAAATCTCCTTAAGCTGATAAGCAACTTCAGCAAAGTCTCAGGATACAAAATCAATGTACAAAAATCACAAGCATTCTTATACACCAACAACAGACAAACAGAGAGCCAAATCATGAGTGAACTCCCATTCACAATTGCTTCAAAGAGAATAAAATACCTAGGAATCCAACTTACAAGGGATGTGAAGGACCTCTTCAAGGAGAACTACAAATCACTGCTCAAGGAAATAAAAGAGGATACAAACAAATGGAAGAACATTCCATGCTCATGGGTAGGAAGAATCAATATCGTGAAAATGGCCATACTGCCCAAGGTAATTTATAGATTCAATGCCATCCCCATCAAGCTACCAATGCCTTTCTTCACAGAATTGGAAAAAACTATTTTAAAGTTCATATGGAACCAAAAAAGAGCCCGCATTGCCAAGTCAATCCTAAGCCAAAAGAACAAAGCTGGAGGCATCACACTACCTGACTTCAAACTATACTACAAGGCTACAGTAACCAAAACAGCATGGTACTGGTACCAAAACAGAGATATAGATCAATGGAACAGAACAGAGCCCTCTGAAATAACGCCGCATATCTACAACTATCTGATCTTTGAGAAACCTGACAAAAACAAGAAATGGGGAAAGGATTCGTATTTAATAAATGGTGCTGGGAAAACTGGCTAGCCATATGTAGAAAGCTGAAACTGGATCCCTTCCTTACACCTTATACAAAAATCAATTCAAGATGGATTAAAGACTTAAATGTTAGACCTAAAACCATAAAAACCATGGAAGAAAACCTAGGCAATACCATTCAGGACATAGGCATGGGCAAGGACTTCGTGTCTAAAACACCAAAAGCAATGGCAACAGAAGCCAAAATTGACAAATGGGATCTAATTAAACTAAAGAGCTTCTGTACAGCAAAAGAAACTACCATCAGAGTGAACAGGCAACCTACAAAATGGGAGAAAATTTTTGCATCCTACTCATCTGAAAAAGGGCTAATATCCAGAATCTACAATGAACTTAAACAAATTTACAAGAAAAAAACAAACAACCCCATCAAAAAGTGGGCAAAGGACATGAACAGACACTTCTCAAAAGAAGACATTTATGCAGCCAAAAGACACATGAAAAAATGCTCATCATCACTGGCCATCAGAGAAACGCAAATTAAAACCACAATGAGATACCATCTCACACCAGTTAGAATGGCAATCATTATAAAGTCAGGAAACAACAGGTGCTGGAGAGGATGTGGAGAAATAGGAACACTTTTACACTGTTGGTGGGACTGTAAACTAGTTCAACCATTGTGGAAGTCAGTGTGGCGATTCCTCAGGGATCTAGAACTGGAAATACCATTTGACCCAGCCATGCCATTCCTGGGTATATACCCAAAGGACTATAAATCATGCTGCTATAAAGACACATGCACACGTATGTTTATTGTGGCACTATTCACAATAGCAAAGTCTTGGAACCAACCCAAATGTCCAACAATGATAGACTGGATTAAGAAAATGTGGCACATATACACCATGGAATACTATGCAGCCATAAAAAATGATGAGTTCATGTCCTTTGTAGGGACATGGATGAAATTGGAAATCATCATTCTCAGTAAACTATCGCAAGAACAAAAAACCAAACACCACATATTCTCATTCATAGGTGGGAATTGAACAATGAGATCACATGGACACAGGAAGGGGAACATCACACTCTGGGGACTGTTGTGGGGTGGGGGGAGGGATAGCTTTGGGAGATATACCTAATGCTAGATGACGAGTTAGTGGGTGCAGCGCACCAGCATGGCACATGTATACGTATGTAACTAACCTGCACAATGTGCACATGTACCCTAAAACTTAAAGTATAATAATAATAAAAAAAAGAATATTTTCTGTTATATAGTATGTGGGAAAAAATGTGTGATTACTATTATCATGGGCCGAAAATTATGAATTACAATTTATCTGAACATAGAGTGGCCATTCTTTGGCTGTTATAGCCATTTAGCCAGAAGATGAGCTGACGTCACTTGTGTTTATATTTATTTTCAAGATTATACTCCTTAAAATAATCCCATTTCTCTTCTCGTTTTATTAAGTTATGGTTTTCTCCTTTACCTGTAAAAAATAATAATTCAGAAATTACATGGGAATGTGTTTCCTGAGTTTTTTGTGTGATATCCAAGAAATCATTGCCAAGACCAGTGTCAAGGGGATTTCGCCTATATTTTCATCTAGGAGTTTTATGATTTCCAGTCTCATATGTAGGTCTTTTATCCATTTTGAGTTGATTTTTGTGTATGGTGTAAAAGAAGGGTCCAATTTCATTGGTTTATTTTCAGATGAGGAAATCCAGTTTTTCCAGAGAATATCCTTTTCCCATTGCGGTTTTTTTTTTTTTTTTTTTTTTTTTGGTGCTGTCATGAAATAATATTAGTTGACCATGTATGTTTGGACTATTTCCGGACTTTCTACTCTATCCCACTGGTCCACTGGTCTGTTTGTCTGTTTTTATGCCAGTACCATACTATTTGCTTTCTATAGATAGCTGTGTAATATAATTTTAAATCAGTAAGGGTAATACCTCCATTTTTTTTTTCAGAATTGCTTGGCTATTCAGGGTCTTTATGGTTTCATACAAATTATTGGATTGTTTTATCTATTTCTGTGAAGATTCCACTGGGATTTTGATAAGCATGGCATTGGATCTATATATTACTTTATGTATTATCAACATTTAAGACACTACTTTTTTATTCAGGAGCAATGGGATATCTTTCCATTAATTTGTGTTCCCTTTTTTTCATTAACATTTTATAGTTTTCAGTTTTTCAACTTGGTTAAATTTATTCCTGATTATGTTTTATACTATGATAAATGAGATTGTTTTCTTGATTTGTTTTTGGCTAGTCATTGTTTGTCTATACAAATGCCATAGATTTTTATATGTTGATTTTATGTCCTGCAATTTCACTGAATTAATTTATTGGGTTGAACAGTTTTTTGGTGGAGTCTTTAGGGCTCTCTATACATAGGTTCATATCATCTGCAAATACAGATACTTTTATTTTTCCTTTCTGATTTAAATATCTTTTATTTCTTTTTCTTGTCTAATTACTCTTGATAGTATTTCCAGTACTATGGTGAATAGAAGTGGTGAAAATGAGCATCCTCATGCATTGTACCAGATCTTAGAAGAAAAGTTTTCAGTATCTCCTTATTGATTATGATGTCATCTGTGGGTTCTTCATAAATAGCCTTTATTATAGTGAGAAACTTTCCTTTACACCTAAACAGTTAAGAGTTTTTATCAAGAAAGGATGTCAAACTTTGGTAAATGCTTTTTCTGCATCAATTGATATGATCGTGTGGTTTTGTTTTTCAATATATTAGTGTGATGTATAACATTGACTGATTTGCACATGTTAAATCTGTCTTGCATACCAGGATTAAATGCCACTTGTTTGTAATGGACAATCTTTTTTATTGAGAATTTTTGCATTGATGTTCATCAGTGATATTTGGCCTATAGTTTATTTTCTTATGGTGTCTTTGTCTGGTTTAGGTAAGAAGGTAATACTGATCTTGCAAAATTTGTTAGGAAGTATTTGCTTCAAATGTATTTCTTTGGAGGAGTTAAAGAAATATTGGTATCACTTTTCCTTTGAAAGGTTGGTAGAATTAGGCCCTAATGCCATTTGATTTTGTGCTTTTATCAAGAAGTTTTTAATTATTACTTTAATGTCTTTGTTATTGGACTGTTCAGATTTATATGTCTTCCTTATTCAACCTTGTTAGATTGTATTTTTCTAGGAATTTGTTCATTTCATCTAGGTTATCAAATATCTTCACATGCAATTTTTCATAATAGTCTCTTATGATCCTTTCTTTTCTGTGGTGTCTGTTGTAGTGTCTCCACCTTCATTTCTGATTTTACATATTTAAGACTTGTTTTTTTTATTCTGGCTAAGAGTTTTTCAATTTTTTTTTTCAAAAACCATCTGTTCTATTGATTTTTTTCCTATGATTTTTCTTTCATCTGTTTGATTTACTTTTGTTTCGATTTTTATTATTGCCTTCCCTCTGCTGACTTTGGGTTTAGTTTGATCTTTATTTTTTGGCTTTTTGAGGTGTAATATTAAACTATTTATTTGAGATTGCTCTTCTTAATATATTTGTTGCTATAAACTTCCCCCTTAGAACTGCTTTTGCTGTATCCCATAGGTTTTGATTTGTTGCATTTCTATTATTGTTTGTTTCAAGATATATTTTAAACTTTTCCTTTTAATTCTTCTTTGACCCATTCATTGTTCAGAAGCATATTGTTTAATTTCCACATATTTGTGAATTTTCCAAAATTCTTCCTCTTAGAGATTTCTAGTTTCATACCATTGTGGTCAGAAATAATACTTGATATGATTTAGATCTTCTTAAATTATATAAGGGTTGTTTTGCGGCCTACCAAGTGGTCTATCTTGTTTTATGTGCACTAAAGAAGAATGTGTATCTTGCTGGAAAGTTCTATATATATGTGTTAAGCCTATTTCTCCTTCCATATTCATTTTTATAGAGGCAGATTCTCACTGTGTTGCTCAGGCTGGGGTGCAGTGGCTATTTGCAGGCATAATTATAGCACACTGTAACATCAAACTTCTGGGCTCAAGCAATTCTCTGCCTTAGCCTCACAAGTAGATGGGCCTATAGGAATGCCCCTCTGTGCCTGGCTCCATTAATTTTTGCTTTGTATATTTAGGTGCATCAATGTTGGATGTATATATATTTATAATTGTTACGCCCTCTTGAGGAATAGAGCCCTCTATCATTAAATAATGACCTGTTACGTTTCTTGTGACTTTAAGACAAAGAAATCATTACCTATTTTCTGGTGTCTTTAATTCAAAGTCTATTTTATTTGATATAAGTAGAGTCATCCTTGTTCTCATTTGGCTAGGATTTGCATGGAGTATCTTCCATCTCTTCACTTTCAGCCTATTTGTGTCCTTAATGCTAAAGTAGGTCTCTTGTAGCAGCATATACTCAGATCTTATTTTAGTATTCATTCAACCACTCTATGTATTTTGATGGTAGAATGTAATCCATTTACATTAAAGTAATTATTGATAGATAAGGGCTTACTACTGGCATTTTGTTAATTGTTTCCTGGTCATTTTGTAGATCTTTTGTTCCTTGCATTCTTTATTGTTCTTTATCTCCGAGATTTGGTTATCTTCTAGCAGCTTTCCCCACAGAAATCTTGTGAGCTAGGAGAAAATGTGCTGAAAGAGAAAAAGAAAACCTGGCAGCTGAGAATATTATACCCAGCAAAACTGTCCTTCAGAAATAAAAGAGAAATAAAGCCTCAGACATGTAAAGTTGATGGAAATTATCACCACTGGATGTGCCTTAGAAGAAATGCTTAAGGGAGTCCTTCAAATAGAAAAAAAAAAGAACACTAATTAATAATATGAAAACACATGGAAGTATAAAAGTTACTAGTAAAGGTAATTATATAGTCAAATCCAGCATACTCTAATACTGTTATGATGCTCTATCATATATATCTCTAGTATGAAGGCTAAAAAAAAATCAGTCAAAAATAATGACAGTGACAATAAGTGATTAAGAAATACATAATATAAAATATGTAAATTGTGAGATCAAAGTATAAATTGTGTGAGGGGAGGGCCTAGAGTTTTTTTATGTGACGGAAGTTACGTTATCAGTGTAAAGTAGTCTATAATAACTATAAGAAGGTTTATGTAAGCCTCATGGTAACACAAAGTAGAAAACTATAACATACATAAATGGTAAAGAAAAAGGAATAAAAATACAGCACTACATTTGTCTAACAAAGATTTTCTTATATGTGACTCGTTGCTTTTCTCTCACTGCTTTTAAAATTATCTCATCTTTGATTTTGACAATTTAATTATAATGTATGTCAGGACCTCTTCAAGTTGAACATGTCTGGAGTCTTTTGAGCCCCATGTATCTGGATGTCCATATCTCTTCCAAGACTTTGGAAGATTTCAGCATTTTTATTATTAAATAAGCATTCTTTTTCCATCTTTGTCTCTTCTCACGAAATGCCTACAATGCAAATATTTGTTCACTTACTAGTATTTCATAAGTTTCATAGTTTGTCTTCACTCTTCTTCATTGTTTTCTTTTTTTCTCTTATTGGGTAATTTCAAAAGACCTTTTTCAAGTTAGAGATTCTTTCTTCTTTTCAAAAGACCTTTTTCAAGTTAGAGATTCTTTCTTCTGCTTAATCTAGTCTTCTGTTGAAGCTCTGTGTTTTATTTTTATTTCATTCAATGAATTCTTTAGCCCCAAGATTTCTGTTTCCTTTTTTTTTATGATATCCATCTCTTTATTAAATTTCTCATTTGATCCTGGATTGTTTTTCTGATATTGTTGAATTGTCTATCTGTATTCTCTTGTATGTCAGTGAGTTTCTTACAAATTATTTTTTAATTCATTTTCAGGCAACTCATAAGTTTATTTTTCTTTTGGGTCAATTACTGGAGAATTATTTTATTCTTTTGATGATATCATGTTCCCTTGCTTTTTCATGTTTCTTGTGTCCCTACACTGATGTCTGTGCATTGGTAGAACAATCATCTCTTCCAAACTTTATAGAGTGTCCTTCACATGAATGATTTTTATCTGCAGATGGATCTTAATGTACCAGTTGGGAAGGCCATGGTGGCTGATTCTGAGTAGATGAAGGGGTACAGCTTCCATTCAGCTTCTTCAGCTTTGGTCAATGTTTGTTAGCATGACTATGGGTGGCCTACGCTGCAGAAGTTCGTGGCAGTGGCAGTGTAGGTTGTTGGGGTGCTTAGTGACAAGGGCTTTGGCAGTTCTCCTTTTCTCATTTTCCCCATAATGTGGAGTTTTAGCTCAGAATGATCCTCTTGGTATCAGGTCTGACACAGCCCACAAGCTGCTGCAGGAGCTCTGGGCTCCAGAGCACAGGTACTCAGAGCTGCTATAGACTCAAGACCCTGGGGTCAGGTTCTCATAAAGAGACTTTGCCACCTGGGTCTTGTGGTGCAGCTTCATTCTCCAAGGAAGAATTGGATGTAAAATGTCCAAAAAGCCAAGGACGGTGATTCTGAGGCACGCTCTAGAGTAGGGGCCCAAAAAATGGGTTGTAGCTATGAATATGATCCTGTGGGAGAAGGACACAGCACTGGCCCAACTCTAAGGAGGAAGTGGTGTTTTGGAGGCTTTGTCCTGGGGAGCAGCGTACTATTGCAATAGAACCAATAGAGCAGAGTCCAGCTCAGCTCCCACCATATAGTGCACTCCGTAGTAGTGACTCTGGCCCCTCAGATGGTGGAACACTGTGGTAATCCCAGACTCTCAGTGGACTAGCCCCCTAGAGTCTGTTGTTTTGCCTGTAGGGCTGGGCTGTCCCAGCTCCACCTCTGCCCTGTTTTTCAGGTCCTCAGAGTACCATGTCAGCTCAGCCGTGGATGCATGGCTACTCAGCTCAGCCAAGGCATCGGTTTTCTAGAAGGCAATGTACTGCTTTAGCTCAGGCCGATGGACAAATGCAACAGTTACTGGTAGGGGTAGATGGACCAGCTCTGTGACAAATTGACCTCACGAGGTAGGGCATAGTAGCAGACTGGCTTAGTGAAGGCTGGCTATCAGGCAGAGGTAGTTCAGTGGTGACAAGACCTCAGGGATTGACAGATGCTACGACTACTTGCCCTCAGAGCAAGATGCATTCCAGCAATGGCTCTGAGTTTACAGTGGTGCAGCTCAGTAGCTGTATGGCTCATGGGGGCTAGGACATAGCGTCAGTTCCCTCTTAGGAGGAACACAGCCATATGGACTCGAGGCAGCTCCCTCAACTGGAATCAGTCCCTATGAAAACTGCAGAAGTCCCCAGTGGTGAGGACTGTAGGTGTCCAAGGTGGTTATGGGGGCTGCTGGCTTCTTGCTTACCTTTTCCCTGCAAGGAGAAGTTGCTGCTAGTTCTCAGTCGATCCCAACTGGGAGATAGAGTGGTAGAGGTAGAGTGTTTCCTTCTGTTCTCTAGGTGGCCTTCCTGGGTTTCAGTGCACTATAAAACTATTTTTACATGCTCCAGTGCTCTCTTTTGGTTATTTTCATCGAAATGTAATTATTTATTCATGGTTTTGACTGTCTTTGGGGAGGGGATAGGTGCTAGGGGCTTCTCAGTGGCCATTTTGCTGATGTCATTCTCCCCAAATTGTCTAATTTTATGGGGAAAGGGTGGAGGTCTTAAGTTTATGTCATTACAATGGATGAGCTAATTTCACTTTTTTCATTTCTAAGCAAAAAAAAGGGAAATTTGAATTTAATATGTCAAGACTCAGACCACACACTTTGTGAAATATAATTGCAAAAATACCTCCTGGCAAAATTACCAAGCTAGATTTTTAAAGGCCTTTTTTCCATCAATCTCATATTTCTTCAGAGGGTTTATTTAGTGAATGAGAAATGACTTTATGAGAATGAGATACGATGGACAAGTTGGTGATTTTGTTGACAGCAGTGTAGAATAGCCTCATTAGATTAATAAGCTGCCACGTAGAACTCACTGCATAGGTATTTTCCCCATGGTCTTCTTATTGATTTGGGGCCAGATGCATGTTGCATACAGCCTGATGAATTTAAGAACAGATTCATGGCTGCTTAATGTGTCCTTCAAAACATCTTTCAAAAGTCATTAAGCCTATAAAATGATAGGGTTTTTACCCTTGAGGCATCATTCTACAGACAAATAGATTTCAATTTGGATTTTCTTTCTTAATTCGTTGCAAGTTTATATGGAATTCATTAGGCCAATACAAGTTTTGTTCTACTAAAAAGAACTCTAAATCTGAAGCCAAAAGCTGTATCTGAAATATAATTCTGATACCTTACAGGTGTGACACGGAGTGAGTGACATAACGTATTGGCCCCAATTCCCTCCAATGTAGAGATTGATGTAGCCCAGGAGTTCTCAGCATGTGCTGCCAGGACTAGCAGCATTACCATCGCCTGGGACCTTGTTAGAAATGCAAATTCTCAGGCCCTGCACCAAGCAATCTGAATTCAAAATTGCATATGTGACCAAGATATCTGTGATTTAACAAGCCTTCCATGTGTTTTTTACCCATGATAACATTTGAAAAGCACTGTACTAGGTCAGAAAACCTTTTAAGGGGCCAGATAGTAATATTTTAGGCTGTATGTGCCAGGAAGCAAAATCAAGGATATTATATAGGTATTTATATAGAAAGAAAATAAATTTTATTAATATAATTTAAATATAATAATAGTAAAGACTTGTTCTGGCAATATAGGTCTACTAATGAGAAGAATGAAAACCTTTTTAAGGCAGATAGGCTTTGCTGAGTTTGGGCTCAAAGTTAATGTTTCCTATCATCAAATTTATTGCATATGTTCACCTGTAAAAATCATTCTTAGCTCCTGGGCCATGTAATTTTACTGACAGGCTACATTTGGCCCGTTGGTCATAGTTTGCAATCCACTATATAGAGAATCTCTAAAGCTCTTTCTGTTTCTACCCTTATATGAGTCTACCTGCACCAATGCTAAAGTTCCTTAGCTACCTCTGCTTTTTTCCTCTTTATGCAATATTAAGAACTCAAATTGCAAAATCCTGACACTGTGTCCTTAACCTAAACCCATCCACCCACCCACCCACACCACCACTGCATGTAGATCTTTCATAAAAACCAAACAAAAAGTAACTGAACAACATATAAAGTGAAAAATCTTGTATCTCAGAACTGATTTTTTCAAAATACAGCCAAATAGTAATAATGGTATGACTTTATGGATAGACTTTAATTATGATGTAGTGTCTATCACCAATATCCTTCATGAGTTCTTTGTTTTCTGTTGGGGGAAAAGACTTAAAAAGTCAACAATGTTTCAGAGATTAGCTGAAATAAAACATATCAAAGTCATGAGTTATTTTAAGAAAGATATAAGCAGAAACTTTGTATCCCAGGCAATTAGCTGTTATCAGATTCGGTATAAGACATATTAGTCAGACTTCCTTTTATCCATCCAGGTGGGAATACTAGAAACAGATATCTTTTCTAATCAGTTTCCATCTTAAGTCAAAATAGAGAGAGAGAGAGCACAAATTAGTTGAATAAATTCATTTGCTTTTAAGGGAACTTGCCTCCTGCAATTAATTCAATTGACTAGTTCAATTTCTTTATACATTCATTAGGGCATTGGTGAGAATATGATTATTCAGTTTTAAACATTGCTTGGGTTCTATTTTCTCTAATTCACTTGAGGCAGAACTATTACAATGCCTCTAGTTGCTATGTTCCATGCTATGTGAAAGAAGAGTCCAGTATTTCCTCAAAAGTGTGCAAATAATATAATGAACCCACTCTGGGCTGGAGCATATCTATTGTGGGTCTCGTGCACTTGTGTATCTGGTCAAGAATTGAATCAAGGTCCTTGGAATGAGACAGGAAATTGACTCCATGGGAGAAAGAAGCAGTGAGGCACATTGTTTTTGTTTGTTTGTTTGTTTTTCTCTGTTAACGGTGTAAATTCAGAAAAATCTTCCAGGATGGGTGCGGTGGCTCATGCCTGTAATCCCAGCACTTTGGGAGGCCAAGCAGGTGGATCACTTGAGGTCAGGAGTTCAAGACCAGCCTGGCCAACATGGTGAAACCCCGTCTCTGCTAAAACTACAAAAATTAATCATGCATGGTGGCATGCACCTGTAATCCCAGCTACTTGGGAGGCTGAGGCAGGAGAATCACTCGAACCTGGGAGGCAGAGGTTGCAGTGAGCCGGGATCGCGCCACCACACTTCAGCCTGGGCGACATAGCAAGACTGTCCAAAAAAAAGAAAAAAGAAAAATCTTCCTTCTTGGATTGGGGTAAAATTACTTTCTTTCACTTTCTTTTCGTATTTGCATTTGGACATTGCAGCAAAATCTTCAAGATGTGATAACTTCACATCTCAATCCTTGTATTTCTCTTCACAGAAAGTGAAACTTCACCTCCTGCAGTCTCTGTTAGTTACACTGTTAGTTACACTGACATACAGACAGGTTTACTCTTTATTCTTTCTCTTTCATTTTCTAATGAGGAAAGTACGTACACAATGGAATACATGAAGCATATTCGGCTGTACCTCATAATGAATTTTTATGTCTATACCTGAGTGGAACTACCCATCTGTGTCACAAGAGAGAACATTTCCCACATTCCACCCAGTTGACACCCACCCTAGATGGAAACACTATTTTGACTTCCATCACTACAAGTTAGATTTGTCTATTTTTAAATTTTTATGGAATCTTTTGTGTATATCGTTTTGCCCAAAATTGTGCCTGACTAGATTTGTTCTTAAGTAATACATGTAGAAACACTTTTGGGTCCACAGTGTAAAAACCTAAGTCAGGTATTTCCCTAGAAAATATGTGAAAACCCTCAATCCAGATAAATGAATGTTAACAAAATGCATTAACCAAATATAAATAGTGAAATGCTACTGTATTTCTTTTCTGTTTTCTAACATAATTGCAGTTTTTTCATACGTAGAATTTCAAGAACAGATATAACTTTTCAGCTAAAATACAAACTTACAAAATGCATTGTAAGTTTTGTACTTTTTGGTGATTATTGATATCTTGTAGATTTTAAAACCTACCTGAGTTCAAAATGAATTACTTTAAGCAAATTTATCATTTTCATCTACTTTACTTCACACCTTATGAGCCTAATTTTTCAGGGTTCATTAATTCCTGTTCCTCCAGTGGCTGTTATATATTATTTGGATTTCCATGCATGTCATTTTTGCCTTCTACACTGTGCTCCTTTGAAATTCTTCGTTTTTATCTAATTCATTTCTCTCATTTTTAAGCAATTTTCTACATATAATGTTAATTTAATTTTCCTGCACTGGGTTCAAGCATGACATTTTATTGTTCCTTTTACCTGATTTCTCTAATTTTCTTTAAAACAAAATAGAATGAAAAATCTTTCCCCCATAGTCAGTTTCCCCTGTCCACTCCTTCCTTTCTGTTATTTGCACCATCATTCTGCCAATTCCCGAAGCTGGCCAGTGGGAGTTCTTTGACTCTCTTCCCCCTGTCTTGCCACTGCTGCTCATAATTCATATTCTCATCACCAGAACCCTGACTGCACTTATGATCTAATATGCCTGCCTGGTCCACCCTCTCCCAGCTGCAATTTATCTACTATCTTCTCCCTAAACCTCTGATGGCATCAGGCAAGTCATCTGCTGAACAACTTAAATCAGTATTTCTCCAACGTCGAGGATATGTGAATCCATTTTAAAGGGAAAAACATCCCATAGATCACCCGTGCTGACTTAAATTAGTTTCATTGTAGTATCATATAAATAAGTACGAACATAAGCCTATTCATAAAATCTTTCTTCTTACAGATTGTATATAACTATAAAATCAAATGGATTGTAATTAATACTAACAATGTAATGAAACTAATATCACTCAAGTGAATAAGATGGATGAAAATAAATCCCCACCCACTATGTGAATATTGTATTAATTGCTACTTTTTGTGCACTGGCAAGCTTAAGAAAAGTGCTGGGAAGGTTGCATCATTTCATGGACTAGAATATTATGGCAGGACTATAAATTATGCCATGTTCTGTAAGATGATGCAATCCTCCCAACACTTTTCTTCATTCAAAATATTCCAAAACATTCATGCTTTCTATATACTGCAATGTCATTTGTCTTCCCTGGTTTCAAATGCATCATTTATTTCTTAAGTCCACCTGTGTTTTTTTTTTTCTCATTAGTTCATTAAAATTAAAGCAGCGTTGGCTGGGCCTGGTGGATAACACCTACAATCCCAGCACTTTGGGAGACTAAGGAAGGAAAAGAAGGGGGATTGTCTGAGCCCAAGAGTTCGAGACCAACCTGGGCAACATGGTGAGCTCCACCTCACCCCTGTCTCTATTTTAAAAAAGAAAGAAAATTAAAGCAGTGTGACCTGATTACCATGCAATGAATGATAAACACAACATAAGTGAAATAATCCTGGTGTTTGCAGGTAGGAGACTGCCATCCAGATGTCAGAGAATGTATTTACATTATTTTATAGATTATTATTTAAATGAAAACCCCAAAGGTGATAGATATGTCTAAAAGTACATCACAGGACCTCAGCTTAAACAACTGAGCTAAATGACAGTTTACTGCCCATTAATTCATACTCAGATAATCAGGTAGACCTTGTTTATATGTTTGTCCTGTCTCATAACTAGATTTTAATTTTCTAAAAGGCAGAAGCAGATCTTAAACTCCTTTGTGCTTTCACATCCTAGCCCAAGACCTTGTACATATAACCTCCACTAAAATTCCCCATCAGTTGATTACTGAGTTAATGAATACCTTTCATTGCATGTTCCCTGTTTTCTATTTTCCCCTATAGTCAGCACTGTTCCCCAATGGCTTATTCCTTTCCTTTTCCTTACCCCAAAACCTCTCCACCTTAAAAAATGCACAGCCAGGAGTGTTGGCCCATGCCTGTAATCCCAGCACTTTAGGAGGCTGAGGCAGGAGAATTACTTGAGCCCATGAGTTCAAGACCAGCCTGGGCAATATAGGCAGTCCCTATCTCTAAAAGATATCAAAAAATTAGTTGGGGGTGGTGGCTCCTGCCTGTCATCCAAGCTACTCAAGAGACTGAGGTGGGAGAACATTCTTGAGCCTGGGAGGTGGAGGCTGCAGTGAGCCATGATGGCACCACTGTACTCCAGCCTGGGTGACCTAGTGAGACCCTGTCTCAAAAAAAAAAAAAAAAAAAAAGCACCAAAAACATGCTTACAACCACAACTTCATTCACATCCATTTAAAGTAACTTCTCTGCTGACTGTATCACTATGTCTTATATCTCTTAGCTGACCTTCTTTTATCTTGTGTTTCTTTGTTGAGATTTCCTATGTTTTACATTTGCCCCATGCATGTTTGCAGTTGCTGTTTGAAGCATTTTTAGGATGGCTGCTGTAAAATCTTTGCTCTAAAACATCTTTGTCATCTTGTTGTTGGCATCTATTTATTGTCTTTAAGTTGGACATCTTCCTCTCCAACTTAGTTTAATGAGTGGTTTTCAGCTGAAACCCGGACATTTGGGGTATTATGTGTAAGGGACTCCAGATATTATTTCAACCTTCCGTTTTAGCTGATTTCCACAGACTCCATTACTGCAGGCTATGGGAGAGCACCACCTAATGCCTGCGAGGTGTGGATAAAAGTCTGGATTCCCCACTTGACCTCTGCTGATATTCATGGGGAAGATACTCCTCATTATTTATGGTAGAAGTGGTAGTTCTATTTCCCCCTACCTCTCCACTGACACGAGGATATGGGAGGTGTCCTTACCTCTGGGTGGTGGTAAAAGTCCTGACTCTCCACAAGCCTAGTGGGAAGAGAAGAAATGCCTCACATACTGCCGAGTGGGTGGGGGCTGGACTCTCCCTGTGATCTCCTGACAACAGAGTGAGACCTCATTACAGCCTGTCAGGGATAAAAGTCTGTCCCTTTACTTCACCTTCTCTAACACCATCCTGTTGGGGAGTGAGAAGAGCTTCCTTGCAGCCTGTTGGGGCTAAGTCTAGGCTCACCACTTCGCTTTGGGGCATTACTCATGCTACCCATCTCAAGAAATAGGATCTAGACTTCTGGCCTACTCTATTTTTCAAAAGATCTTCCTTTATTATCCAGTTTTTCTTTCGAGACAGAGTCTCGCTCTGTCGCCCAGGCTGGAGTCCAGTGGCGTGATTTCGGCTCACTGCAACCTCCGCCCCTCCAGGTTTAAGCAATTCTATGCCTCAGTCTCCGGAGTAGCTGGGATTACAGGCGCCTGCCACCATGCCCGGCTAATTTTTTTGCATTTTTAGTAGAGATGGGGTTTCACCATCTTAGCCAGGCTGGTCTTGAACTCCTGACCTCGTGATCCACCTGCCTCGGCCTCCCAAAGTGCTGGGATTACAGGTGTGAGCCACTGTGCCCCGCCCTTATCCAGTTTTTCTAAGGAGTTAATTATCACAAAGATACCTCTAGACGACAATTTTGCAGTGCTTATTCAACCATATTTACCTCTCCACCTAAATGTATTTCTTGGAGATCTCATCAAACCCCATACCTACAAACACCATCTGTATTTCTTACAATCCGTAAATTTATAGCTCCAGCTTCAGCCTCTCTCCTGAAGTTCAATCTTACATATATTATGCTTACCTGACATCTCCATTTTGATATCTAATAAATAGGAAAATCAAATTTCATTCTATCCCACCTCAACTAAGGCCTTAAATCTTTTTTTTAACTTCCAATTTCCTCACTCAGAAAACAAGTTCATTCTTTCAGAAACTCATCTCCAAAATAATGAATTCCCCCTTTTCTTTCACACACTGAATTAATCCAACAGAAAATCCTGTAGACACAAATTTCAAGATACATTCATAACCATTTTTTAAAACATCCACAGCTGCCACCCTAGTCTCGGTCACTATTATGTCTCACCTGGGCCCCTGAAATAGCCTCCCACTTCCCTGATTCCAACCTTGTTTTCTAGGCCCAGAGTCTCTTCCCAGAAATGCTACAGTGATTCATTTATGATGGAAGGCAAGGCATGATAATCCTCTACTCAGAAATTTCCAACGTCATCTCACTTTATACACAGGGATATAAAGAGTTCTGCTTTAATTCCTAACCCTGTTCATCTTACTCAGATTGTTCCACCCAGTTGGCCTCCCTGCAGCTCTAAGGCCAAGCCAAACACTCTCTAACCATGGGGCCTTTGCACTTGCTGCTCTGTACATGTACAAAGCTCTTCTCCCAGATATCCTGGTGTTATTTTTGGTTCAATTTCCTCCTCAATTGTCACCTTGTCAGAGAGGACTTCCCTGACTTTCTATCCCATTTTAGTATTCTTCCAATGTCATTTCTTTATCATTCACCCTGTTTTACTTTTGTTCATAGCCTTTACCACTACCTGTCATAGAGTAGTTTGCTTATTCGTTGATTCTGACTTTCTCCATGGAAAGGAAGCTCCATGAGAATGTGGGCTTTCTTTTGTTCTCTGCTGTATTTCCAATGCCTAAAGAGTTAGTGATACACAGTAAGCAGTAAGTGCTTGATAAATATCTGTTGATAAATTCAATTCAAAAATATTTCTTATCACAGTTAAGAATTTCTTTTCCTGGTTGACATATACTCTGCCAAATAGAGTTCAGATAAAATCAAAGATATATATTTCACATACAATATTTTATTTATTATTATTATTTTTCCCTAAGTAAGCATGTGCTTAAACTAGTACCAAAATATAATAAGAAAACTAGTAATAGTAATTCCTGTTAAAAGTTGGTGCATTCAGAACTTGGTATAGCCATATTCCTTTTTCCGATAATAAAATTTCCAAGTTCTTTTCAATAAAATGCCAAAAATAGAGATCCTTCATTGTAATACCCTTCCTGATAACTGATATACAAAAGAAACACAAAACAGTAGCATTTTTCCAGAATTTAGTATAATATATTGCTTCTGAAATAAATACACATTCTCTTTAATACTTACTATCAGCTTACATGTTTTAATGGTAGGGCTTATGTCCTATATCCACTTCCATCTCACTGTGAACTAATAATCTCATAATGGCAGGTGGAGGTGCTACTCTAGAAGCTCCTAGAATTTGAGAAATGAGTATGTATTACTTTTTTTTTAGATTGACTGAAATCTTTCTGCAAATTTCTGCTGGCTGAACATGACTGAAATCTATTTCCTAAACTGGAGTTCACTCTCCTCATGATGAATTCAGAAAAATAATTGGGCACCTGAATAAAGGATTTCTTCTACTGAGATTTTCAGACATATCCAATGATTATCTATATCTTTGTCAGACTAAAATTCACCAGATGACGTAAATGAAATTCACAAATATTATTTTTCAGAAAAACAATATAAAGTATCTTCCACACTTATAAATGTATTATACCAGCTTATTAGGCCTTCTAATTGTCTTAGGAAAATTGCAACGATGTACTAACTAGTTTTCTTGCCACTTGACTATCTAATCACCCTCCAAACTGTCTTCCATTCTCTCTTTGTAAGAGTATTCCTTGATCTTGAATTTCATCTGTTGAAAATATTCCTAAAGCTTTTGTATTAGTTGGTTCTCAAGCTTCTAATAAAGACATACCCAAGACTGGGTAATTTAGAAAGAAAAGAAGTTTAATGAACTCACAGTTCCACATGTCTGAGGAGGCCTCACCATCATGGTGGAAGGCAAAGGAGGAGCAAAATCATGTCTTACATGGCAGCAGACAAGAGAGCATGTGCAGGGGAACTCCCATTTATAAAACCATCAGATCTCATGAGACTTATTCACTATCACAAGAACAGCACAAGAGAAACCTGCCTGCATGATTCAATTACCTCCCACCACATGTGGGGATTATTATAATTCAAGGTGAGATTTGGGTGCGGACAAAGAGCCAAACCATATCAGCTTTTAAATGCTCAAGAAGAACATATTTCACACATAAAGCCCTTCAAAGTCCCTCACAGCTTAACCTCAGTCAACTTTTTCCAGCCATATCTTCTCTACTTAACCTTGCAGGTATAGCCCTGTAGGTCTATAACAATGACCCACCTGTTATAAGCATCTCATACCTTTATACATAGCACCTTTCATTCTTGCCTAACTTGTAGTGGTCTGTACATTTGTCAAGACTTATTTAAACATCACTTTCTGTATTCAGGGTGCATTGGATAGTTTTTCCCAGGTTTCTGACATTGCTTGGGTGTGAATAATCTATAACTGAAGGATACATAGTTCCTACCCTCCTGGAGCTTGCAGGCTGGGAAGACTTCCCTGCCCACTTGCCTATGAACTCCTCTCCAATCAGAATTACGTGTTTCCCTAGCTCTACCATAATGAACTGACTGTATACCTAAATCCATCACTAAATGATGCACTTTTCAGGATACTGACTTCTCTTAATCATCCATATTTATTCCTGAATCTAGTCCAATTCAGCACAGAAAAAATGAAAGTTTAATGTTTGTAGGTTTGGTATTAAGAACAAGACAAAATGAACTTATGAAAGATTCATTTAACCATTTGAATTTGTTTTCTTCCTAAGGCAACAGATTTTTAATATTTATCAATTGGGCATGAAGAAAATCATTTATTTCTTATAGAGGTGAATCCTTAATCTCTAGGAAGAATTTTTATCCATGTGAAATTTTGTTTAACATACTAAAAAAAGATTAAAGTTGTCTCCTGTCCAACATTGACAAAAAGAGACAAAATTAACTTTTCTTTTATGTGAAGTTGTGGTAATTTTCTCTAGGCTGAAAGGACACCAGCCACACATTCTCTGTGTCCTCCATTTCTTTACATTGAAAATGAGATACCAGGCAATTTACCCATCAGGTTTTTAATGAGTCACAGTATTTGAAGGCTATGAACTGAGAAATATCATTCATTTATGGTCTTGTCCTGCAGCTGTTGTGTTTTATATAAGACAGTGTGATACAAACAAAACAGAGCTCTTTAATAAGCTTCACTATTAAGTGCAACTGAGCCATTTCAGGAAATAATGGCATTTCACAGAAGAGAATGAAAAACACGAAGTGTAATTTTCCTCAAATAACAAAGAGGTAAATGGATTTAAAAAAAGCATAAATGTTAACATAGTGACCAATAAGTACTTTTTGGCATCTAAAAATCTCACTGTAGCACAACTCTTTGCACCTTAGTTTTTGCTTCAAATATGCCAGTCATGAGTCAATTATGGTATATATTTGTCAACAAGTCCTTGTCTGTTTTTTCCTAAATTAGGGTCAAGCAATAAAGCTGCCAAAAAAATTTATGCTTTTTTTAAAGGTAACACTAGAACTCAAATTCAGGCTAGAATCCATTGTCCAGGTAAATCCCTGATTATCAACTGATCATACCTTAGTTAAGTGACTTCAATCACAATACCTCCTTCCTCTCCTTTCCCTCATCCTTGTCTCAGTAAAAACCTTATGACTCCATATCTACACATTTTAATACCTCTTAGCTGTGTTTTCTTTCTGCTACCCCATCTATTTAGCTCATATCTATAAGAGTTCAGTTCTAAAGTCCAAATTGAATCATATCACAGTCCTGCTTTAAAAACATTCATTGACAACGGTCTTAAATCGGCTTCCAATAAATCATACAGCCTGTTGTTTGTAATCTGTCATTTTTCATGTTCTTGATGAAATCTTCATTCACCACAAAATAACTTTTAAGCACCTACTCTGTGGCAAGAATAAGATGGATTTATGACTCTCTTAGAGAAATACAAGCCTTGCCCTCTTGGAGTTTACATGTTGGATTAGTTTCCTACAGGCGCTGTAAGAATTCACCACAAACTTAGTGGCTTAAAACAACACAGATGTATTATCTGACAAGTCTGGAGATCAGAATCCTTAAAATCAAGGTATTAGAAGGGCTGCTTTCCTTCTGGAGGTTCCAGGGGAGAATTCACTTCCTTGACTTTTCCAGTTTGTAGAGGTCACTTGCATTTCTTGGCTCATGGCTCCCTCCTCTATCTTCAAGGCCAGTAGTGTAGCGTCTTTAAATCTCAGACTCTCTCTCTTCCTCCCTCTGTCTCCTTTCCTCTCTCTTTTTCCCACAGCGAGCTCTCTCTCTCTTTCTTACACATACACACTCACTCACTCCCCTTCCTTTGCCTCCTCCTGCCTCTGAATCATCTGCTTCCCCCTTTCCATTATAAAAACCCCTGTGATCCCACGGGGCCCACCCGGATAATTCAGGATAAACCTCACATCTTAAATTCCTTAACTTAATCACATCTGCAAAGTCCTTTATGTAACACACTCAGAGATTCTGGGGATAAGGGTGTAAATCTCTTTGGCAGGGCCATGGGGAGAGGCAGTCATTGTTCTGTCTACTCAATGTCTGATAGAATAGGCAGATACTTGTGATATTTTTACTGTTTTATATTTTCCAAATTTTATTTTATTATTACATAGTATTCTTCTAATTGTGGGGGAATGTTTTCAATTTTCATAACACCCAATCACCCTATCAGATATAGTCCAAAATGTATGTCATGCTATAACAGACTAAGCCAGACCTGATCATACCCTGTCTTTCTGGCTTAACTGCAGACAGTCTCCTTGTACCTCAATTATAGTAGGGTACTCACCATCCTTTAATAGACTTTCCTTCTTTAATAATGCTCTGTGTCCTGCACAAAGACTGGGAAGCCTGTAGTCTCAGCTACTCGGGAGGCTGAGCAGGAGGATATGTTGAGCCCAGGAGGCAGAAGTTGCAGTGAGCCAAGATTGCACCACTGCACTCCAGTCTGGGCAACAGAGAGAGACCCTGCCTCAAAAAAAAAAAAAAAAAAAAAAAAAAAGGCTGGGTGTGGTGGCTTAAGCCTGTAATCCTAGTACTTTGGGAGGCCAAGGCGGGTAGATCACGAGGTCAGGAGTTCCAGATCAGACCAGCCTGGCCAATATGGTGAAACCTCGTCTCTACTAAAAATACAAAAAACTAGCCGGGCATGGAGGTGCATGACTGTAGTCCCAGCTATTCAGGAAGCTGAGGCAGGAGAATCACTTGAACCCAGGAGGTAGAGGTTGCAGTGAGCCGAGATTGTGCCATTGCACTCAAGCCTGGGCAATAGAGGGAGACTCCATCTCAAAAAAAAAAAAAAAAAAGCCAGGCTCAGTGGCTCATGCCTGTAATCCCAGTACTTTGGGAGGCCAAGGCAGGCAGATCACGAGGTCAAGAGATTGAGACTAGCCTGGCCATCATGGTAAAACCCTGTCTCTACTAAAAATACAAAAATTAGCTGGGTGGCACCCGCCTGTATTCCCAGCTACTTGGGAGGCTGAGGCAGGAGAAACCTGGGAGGGGAGGTTGCAGTGAGCCGAGGTCACACCACTGCACTCCAGCCTGGCAATAGAGCGAGACTCCGTCTCAAAACAAAACAAAACAAAGACTGGGCAAGTCTTACCTCAACTTTTCAATTTGGTAAATGCCTTCAAATGTCTTCAAATGTCCCATCCCTTTTCTATTTGTTCCCTGATGCCCTGGGCATGGTCACTTTCTGCCTCCTCTGTCTCTCCAGAGCACAGTGGAGACACAGTTTCTCATAATTTTACAGAATAATTTATGGCCTGCCTCTATCACTTACTCCACATGCCTTCAGGACAGGGATTACACTCTGATATTGTGTACACCTAGCACTTACCACAATGCTTAGTAGTGCCACTGAATAAAATCTTAAAGTTTGCTTGACTAAATTAAATGATGTTCCTTTGGAAATGGTACACACAAAAATATTTCTGACAATGTGTGCTTGAGGCTCCAGGATGTGGCAAATTTGTTAGGATAAACTATTGGGATGCTTAAATTATTTTCATGGGAATGAGCAATGCCTGAAATTCTAACATGACACTGAAAGAGCATATTTTGCTGTCATATTTTAAGATGAATATGTATAGACACAATTTTTCACAAATGTTTTGTTCAAATTCAAATAACCTGCCTAATAACATGGTGATCTGAGTGACAACTTTTTAATTATATTATATATATGTTTTATAAAGAATGCTTCCAGTTGTTGACTATTTTAGGTTGTACTTCATAACGTGGTTTATAATGTATGGATTTCTAGACAAGAATCAGTCTTATAAATGTGCCATTATTCTAAGGAGAGCTGTTGACTTGGACTTTTCTCAGTTTACTTTCTGTTGATGGTCATCAGATTCAGAATCACAGTTCTTAAAAATTTAATTAAATTCTTGTCTTTATTAAGAGTAAGTATAAAACAAAATTGGCTGGCCTGAATT
The DNA here is from genome assembly GCF_000001405.40 of Homo sapiens. Lineage (NCBI taxonomy): Eukaryota > Metazoa > Chordata > Mammalia > Primates > Hominidae > Homo > Homo sapiens. Next base: position 92,778,491 of record NC_000013.11, read on the forward strand.
ATGGACTAAACCACACATTATTTAAGAAACAGATAACATGTACTTAATGCATGTGACATTAACTACAAAAATATATTGTCTTGATACTAATTCCAATGCCACCTCACTAAGGAATGGTGAAATAGGGAGATCTCGGAATGGAATCGTGTCTATTCTGTTCTTACATACATCTTCAACCATTATTTTACTCTTTTAGTTCTGCGACTGATCTTCCTCTGTATTCCACATAAGACAGCTTAAATATATTAACATCATTAGACTTAGCTATTCACATAAAGTGTAGATAGTTCTTCTATCTGTCTGCATTCATGCAAAATGACAGTGACTATAAAACACGATCAATAATTTAAAAAGGACTTCAATCCCTGTCACTTGTTTCTGTATGTACCTGCGAAATAGAACATGAAAGCATAATTTTCCACTAAGTGTTATTCCTCATAATGCTTGTTGCTTGTGTATGAATATGTGCAAGATATACACACACACACACACACACACATATATATATATATGCACACATATATACACTATGCCTCTGTATTAGTCTGTTTTCATGGTGTTGATAAAGACATACCTGAGACTGGGCAAAGAGACTTACTGGACTTACAGTTCCACATGGCTGGGGAGGCCTCACAATCACAGCAGAAGGAGAAAGGTATATCTCACATGGTGGCAGACAAGAGAATAGAGCTTGTGCAGGGAAACTCCCCTTTTTAAAACCATCAGATCTCATGAGACTTATTCACTATCACAGGAATAGTGCAGGAAAGACCCACCCCCATGATTCAATTACCTCCCACTGGGTCCTCCCACAACACATGGGAATTGTTGGAGTTAGAATTCAAGATGAGATTTGAGTGGGGGCACAGCCAAACCGTATCAGTCTCAAAGCTGTGAGTTTGGACTATCCTGATATTTTGGTCGGAATAAAGCAATTTCAAATTTCAGTACTACCTGCGAAAAAAAAAATGTGACTCTACATGTTTTCCCAGGTTGCATGGAGTAGCAACAACTATGCATTTTACTATTCTACCTATTTAATTTTTAATACAGATGGGGTCTTTCTAGGTTGCCCAGGCTTTTCTTGAACTCCTAGTCTCAAAGCCATCTTCCCACCTCTTTATCCCAAAGTACTGGGATTGCAGACTTCAGTCACCATGTCTGGCCTCAACCTATATTTTTTAACTCACCAAGTATATGGATGACAGCTACTCCTATGGAATCACTGTAGGTCTAAGACCTTATACAAGGTATACACATTCAAAGGTTAATTTATCAGTTTACTCAGAGGTCACTGATCTCCCAACAGACAATACAGATTAAATTTGTAAGGACAAACTCATAAACCAGAAACCTAAATTCTTAATTATATTTAGAAATATTAATGCCAAGAGGTTCAGAGTGCTTGCAAATGGTAAGCTTAATTTCTTTACAGAGGATAATCTATTTTGCCAAAGATTTTAAAATCAGGACGTTTTCAGTTGAAAGTTAAGACTGTGAACAGATTTAAGCAGTCTTTCATATCCCCAGGCTATGAAATTTTCATCTCTACCACAGGTAGATTAATTAACATAGTGGTGTGTCTACTAAGTGGACCATAATATTCCAGTCTGTTTGCAGTACAGTTTCCCTTGAATTTTACATTTTGGAAACACTGTTACTAAATATTATATTTTAATCTGACTAGTCAGAATTTTTATCATTTAAAACTCTTCTTAGTAAAATACTTAATACTTTGCTACAATGTCTTTGATTATAGTTCCTTGTAATTTATATTTCACTTAATATAATTAAGTGTAATTTATATTTCACTTAATATAATTAAGTGTAATTTATATTTCACTTAATATAATTAAGTGTAATTTATATTTCACTTAATATAATTAAGTGTAATTTATATTTAACTTAATATAATTAAGTGTAATTTATATTTCACTTAATATAATTGCATGGTATTACCTAAATCTCATTAAAGTTCTCTCCCCAAGTGATAATTTCTAGTTTACTTTCTGAGACTTTGCGTATAGACAGTTAATAAAAAACAGTATCAATGATAATGCTCATTAGCTTTAAAGTCAGAGGGGACATTTTCTAATAATATGGTCATAATCGTGAGTCCAGACTTCAGTGTATAATCCAGATCCCAGATTATACCCACTTAGAAGATTGGTGCCCTCTTTGTGCAGAAAACATTTTTTTTAGAATAGTGATTATGATTGTCTTTAAATAACAGCAATAAAACACCATCAATATGATAGTAGGCATAAAATGCTATGAAAGTATATTCAATCATAGAATATCAGATATTTAGTCAAGGTAAAAATGAAGTCATTTTATCTATAATTATTGCTGCTTTTAAAGGAATTTTTTAATTGGAAGCATAAAAAATTCCCTAAATTATTTTATCTTGATATTCACATTTTTATAAATCAGTATCTTCATTCTTTTGGGAAAATTATATAAATAAAGGAAATTGATAGTAGACATTACAAAATCTATGGCTATTTAAAATAAATGTGTCCTCATACATGTACGTGCACACGCACACATATACATCTTCACATCAAAAAGTTTATGACAATGAAGACAGAGGTTTTCTTAACTGAAGGAAGCTATTCCTTAGCTAAATAGCTATAATGGACAAAATTAAACGTTCCTTATATTACAGTTGTTGAATTATGTAAACATAACAAACATTAGGAAATTTAAATATTAGATGCTTCAGTAACAAATATTGCCTTTAATAAAAAACTGAATGTAGTATCCACAAAATATATATATTCATTCCACTTGTAAAATTTACAAAAACTTACTACTGAACAGGTTTACTCTGTGTGATATTTCCTTTCACTTTTTTTTCATTTAAATAAATGATAGTTTTCTGGATATCTGATACCTTTCTTTAAACACTTTAAAATTTCACTTATCCAGAAATTTGAATGTTATATGCACAAATATAATAGGCACTTAGAAAATAGTATAATTTCAAATTATTTTGATGTACAGGTTTGTTTAGTAGATCTCTAGATAATATGGGGGAGCTACTGTCAACTGCCTCTAGTTCATATATATAAACAGGAAAGATACCAACAGAGAGGTTGATGGAACCATTTGTAAAATTAACAACAAGAAATGCATTTCTCTTCCTATTGCTATTTATCAGTCTGTGTGTTAAATATGATCATGATGCAAATAAGGATGCATAAAATAAATAAGGGAACGCTTTCATTATTTAAAACTTTACTCAAATGTTTGTTTAAATGGCCAATTACCCCTGGGCATTTAAAAATATTTGCAAACAGACTGTTCACTGTGACTGATAGGCAGAGATCTTCAAGCTGTAGCATTAGTAGCTGCTGCCAGCCAAGTATCAGTGAGAAATCAAGATTTAGCAGCTGTGACGCTGCAGAGCAAGGTAATTGCCAAAATAATTATCAATAATGTGCACAAAAGTTAATTTCCACACCAATTTTCAAGAATAATAATATGGATTTAATATATTGTGAATGGCATTCTGGCCCATGGCCTATTAATAAGTGGAAGGAAAGGAAAGGAAGGGAAGGGAAGTGAAGGGGAAGGGAACGGGAAGGGGAGGGAGAAAGGAAAGAAGGAGTGGGGGGAAGGGAGGGAAGGGAAATAAGGACAGAGAGAGGCAAGGAGGGAAAGGAAGGAAAGAAATCATAAATCACCACCATTCATCTCCTTAGGATAATTTTGAACCAGTTTTTTATCCCCTTTCTACTTTACATTCTTCCATAAAGCCTTACCAAATCTCCTTCTTGTGTCCTGTTATATAATAATGTCATGTACATTATATAATTAAGGCAAATAACCCATGCCCTTATGGGGCTTCTTTTTCAGAATAAGAATACACATAGGCAAACAAGGTCACTGCAGCCCGTGCTAAGTTCTAGGAGAACGTAGAGGGATATGATCATGAGAACAAGGGACTGGATAGTGGCACAGCACTGGAAGAAGGCCTGTCTGAGTCACTGAGATTTATACTGAATCCTAAAGAATGTGGAAAGAGGAAGCCTTTCTGACTGTAAGGGAAAATATCATTGTGAGCGGAGCAGAGAAGAATGCTCAAAGACCCTACGGCAGTCACGCGTTTATCACAGTAAAATACTAAATTATAAGCTCATTATTTTCTTTTACTTTTCATGGAGATAATCAATATTACATTATTCTTGCTATCTGTGAATATAGACTGGTTTATTTCTGGTTACTGCACCCAAGATATAAAGCATCTCTGAGCTTCAGACACTTATGTAATAGCCATAAGACACTATGGACTGCATATTAAACGTGCCTGGGATTCTGACTTACTTTTGAATATAAATTCTTTTTTTCTTATGATTCATAGCATGCTGTTTTAGAAATGAAGTCAGAGACCCCATATAGCTATGGTTTCATTTCATTTTCTTTACAAAGAGTGGAAAATAGAACTAGTCAAGGTATTTGCTTAGAGGTAACCCAGTACTCCAGAATAGCTTTAGGAAACTAAATTATCTATAAACTTCAATATTTTACTAATCTTTCAGTAATATTCTCACATATTGCTAGTTTAAATATTAGCTACCATTTCTATTGTTTATACAATCTCAAAGAGCTCATGCTGTTTTATATCACTCTTGTCTTCCTTCTGCACTGATTGTCTTTCCTCTTATTTTCCAACTGGTAAACCAACTCATGACTCAGGTATCTTCTGATCTAGAAAGATTTTCATTCACTCTCTCACCTCTTTCACTTTTCCAGATTGAGCTAGAAGAGACCATTATCAACCAATCACACCATATTATTCATCACCTATAGTAGACTGCTGAGTGCATTGAGAGTTTACAGGGGTTCACTTACATTGACTGACTGGATTAAATGTTTGATGATATTGTGAAGAAATGTCATAAGGGTGACTCTCCCTCCAGTGACCTAGGGATGGTCACAGTAATGTGGGATTCACTAGTCTGGAAATCCCCTATTTTGGAAACTCTTTTAAGTAAAGAGACACTTGAATGATCTATATTTGATTGTTCAGGCTTCAGGAGCTAAACCGTAGTGTTGAAGAGGTACAAAAAATGAGGGTCTTGTTAGTTGGATGGATCTTACCTTCATAATCAAAGGGCCAGAATCCATTAGTTTCCCTGATATAATTTCACAAAGGAGCTCTAGGCCAAAAACAATGAGAATATGATAAAATTTACTTTCAAATTTTGGGCTTCTTTATCTTGTAGGTTTTGCCCTTGTCTATTTTCCTACTGTGACTAAAGGTGATCCCATATGACATCTTAGGAGAAAACAAAGAATGTCAGGCTACAACCCTGGGCTCTTTAGAGAAGGGAAACAATGAACTCAGAAGCCAGTTTAAGAAGAATGTGTCATACAAAGAAAATTTTAATTTTTAGAAAGAAAATGCACTAAGAACCCATTTTACTTCTGTTTAAATCCAGTAACTGAAAATGATCATCCCCCTTCATATCTAAAGCCAGATTTTTAAAGCATTCTTGGTATCAGATCCCTAATAGTAGAGGAGTTAAAGAATTTGAGACAAAACTTTAATTAAACTCCTCTTACCTAAAAGCAAAGTAATGGACAAGAGAGTGTTTCATGGGAAATATCAGCTATTTTAACAATTAAAGAATTATTGACAATTTGGTTTCAAACATTTGGTAAACTCAGGAACAGTGAGTGTCCTTCAATTAAAGGAAAATCAGTCCAAAAAGTAGGTTGGTTTACATTTAGATACAGTATTAATTTTACCATAATTCTAGTGAATGAATCAACTCTATGATAATTATAATTAGTGGGTGCATTCTACTTCCAGATTATGAATTATTCCCTATTTTGTAGTGATTTGAATAAAGTTTATAAAAGAGTTTTTCTGCCACTAAAGTGATCAATTTAGTTATGATGAAAATTGCCAGAGGGAGTGTGACTAATTATTATACTTCCAGATATTGCAAAAAGATGTACTTTACTCACAGTCTCCCTTTTTTTTTTTACAGATGTAATGTATGGGTTGATAATACCAGCATATCTAAAAGGTCACTTCATCTGTGACATTCCATTGGTAATCTTTCCATCAATATTAAAGATGAAAATAAATGTTGTACTCTTTTGTGGTCTACTTTTGAAAATATTTAGCAAATGTCAGGTCATTATAATTTTCTAGCCACTCAATATGGAAGAAAGTTGGAGATTATGTTTATCCTATTTCAGTTAGTGGATTAACAAATGATGATGCTTTCCACAAATCAAACTAAAAAATCATTACCCAGGGATCCTAAGATATATCAGGTTATCTTCCGATTAAAAAGACTCAATCGGTTACCAGGAGCTGATATTCTTGTAGACAGCAAGCCCCAAACCATTATTATCTAAACATTAAATATGTAACACAAATTATTATAGACTGTATTATATCATTTAGATATTTGATATCTTACTCTCTTCTCTCCCCCAACCTAAAAATACGTATACTGAACCTCCATCAGTAAAAAAGCCTGGGGCCAGGCATGGTGGCTCACGCCTGTAATCCCAGCACTTTGGGAGGCCGAGGCGTGTGGATCACTTGAGGTCAGGAGTTGACACCAGCCTGGCCAACATGATGAAACCCTGTCTCTACTTTAAATACAAAAATTAGTTGCGCATGGTGGCACATGGCTGTAATCCCAGCTACTCGGGAGGCTGAGGCACGAGAATCGCTTGAACCCGGGAGGCAGAGGTTGCAGTGAGCCAAGATCAGGCCCCTTCACTCCAGCCTGGGCAACAGAACAAGACTCTATCTCAAAAAATAATAAGAAGAAGGAGAAGAAACCCTTTCTCATCATTTGCACATAGTCATGGAATGAAGTATGAAGGGAAGGGAACCATTAACTCATTTTTCATATTTCTCTCCCCAAGCTTTTAAGGCATGTCTTGTGTTGGAGGCATTAGATTTCCATAGAAGAAGGTAGCTAAGAAAACTAATCTTCCTAATTCATATGTGCAACCACAAATATTTCTAAGAGAAAGAAAAGAGGCCATGCAGCATCAATGCAATTGAGACTACCACGGTAGAGTGGAACCCTTTACTCCAATTCTCCGTGGAATATATAATCAACCTAGGAATCCATCATATAGTGGCTTGATTTATCTGTTGAAAGCCACATGAAGTGATTTTTGCACCATTCATTTGCTTAGTCTATGAAAAGGTGCTATGTATCCAGGACAGCGTCTAGGATATGGTGGCTAAGAGACTAGACTCAAGACACAGACTGCTTCTGTGTAAGTCCAGGTCTGCAATTTACTGTGTAAATTTGGACAGCACTTCTCTGTGCAGTACAATATTCTGTGCCTCCGTTTTTTCCTTTCTAAGATGAAGGTGCTCATAGTGCCTGCCTTATGGGATTGTTGTGTGGATTAAATGAGTTCTTATATGTTAAGTGTTTATACCAATGCTGGCACATGAGAAGTTACACGTAAATATTAGCTTTTGTTGTTATTATAGTTTGTACTTTGTCAATTACTCAAAAATCAACCCTTGTCAAAATATGGATAGTACATGTTTTCCACTGATGGATGTTGTAATCCTGAATTGGGGTACAAATTGGAAAGTGTAGAGCTCATCTCAAATGTCGATTAATTTGGCCAGTTTACCTATAATGATCACACAAAATCTTTATATTGCTAAGCCACGGCTCTTTACATTAAGGAAACTGTAATCCAGTAGTAGAAATAAATACAAGAGATTTTAATAAAATGTGGGATGTAGAAAGTTCTGAACAAAGGCATGTGTACAGCTGAATTGCAGCGGTTTTGCGAAGTTCTTACTCAGAGGAGGTCTTCAGACTACAAGTTGAAAGATGTGTATGATTTTGACGAATGGACATGGTTGAATAGTGTAGCTTGTTGTGGTAAGTTGTTAGGTGTAATAGGAGATAACTGGATAAGCAGAATAGGACTAGATCAAGGATGGTGGGGGATCTTAAATGCCCCCACTGAGACTGGCATATCTGAAAAAAAGAGCCAAAGTGATTAAACAAAGGCAGAAGTGAAATGGGATTTAATGGTTAAAAATATAACACTGGCGATACTAGAAAGGATGTACTAGAAACTTTGGCAAAATCTTCTAGTAAAATAGTACATTGAGGTCATGCTTTGAACTTCCCCATCAACCCTAAACACAGCACAGTAATTATAAAATAAATAAATAAATAATAAACATCAAATGTAGCCACGTTCAAGGACAAAGTAATACTCTATAGATCAGAAATGAAACAAAATCCCAGAGTCATGAGTGCTGTGGCATTAAAGCCCCGGACCAGACTCACTGGCATCCAAAATCAAGAAGAGTTACCTGTGGGGTAATGAGGAAGAAAGGCCCCCGGACATGGAGAATGGAGGGAGCCAGATACACCGCATTCCAGCAACAGGCAAAGGGATCCAGGCTCCCCTGGAAGGAGCCTGAAAACAGCTGCGCTGCTGACTAAAACTTCACTTCATCCACTCCAAAATATATGCAAAGAAAAGATAAAACCACTTGGACTGACCTTGGTTCATATTAGTCTTTCTTTTAACAGCTTCATGCAAGTAGAAGGGCCTTCATTGAGCAATATAAAATGTATTATTGGATTTGAAACAGGGGAATAATGAACTCAAGATAGGTCCACAGAAAGAATACACCCAACAACACAAGGAAAACTAAAAGTAAGTAAAACAACCCAAAAAACTGTAGGGTTGGGAAGATAAAAAATAAATTCCCTGCCAAAATGGAAGATGATAGAGGAATTGGAGAATATCTTTAAAATCAGAAAATTATGATCCCGAAAGTAATAAATTAATAACACCTATTATAAAAAGAATACTATATTATGAAACAAAATCAGACAGACATGAGTCAAGAGAATATAAACAGAAAAATATCCCTCAGAAAACCAGGACATTTTTAAAGATGTAATTATTAAAGTAAAAATAAAATTAAATGTTTATGATTAAACTTACTTCGTTTCAGTCAAAGGGAAAACAGTAAATTAGAAGGTAATAAACTTATAATTAAAGTAAAGTAGAATACAGGTAAGATGGGTTAGGTGCAGTGACTCATGCCTGTAATGCCAACATTCTGGGAGGCCAAGGCAGGAGGGTCACTTTGAGCTCAGGAGTTTGAGACCAGTCTGGGCAACAGAGAGACCTCATAGCTACAAAAAAAAAAAAAAAAGAAAAGAAAAGAAAGAAAGAAAGAAAAAGAAAAAAAAATTGACTGGTCATGGGCATGGTGACACATACTTATAGTCCCAGCTACTTGGGAGGCTGAGGAGGGAGGATTGCTTGAGCCTGGGAGTTTGAGGCTGCAGTGAGCTATGATTGCACCGCTGTACTCTGCCCTGGGTGACAAAGTAAGACCCTGTCTCAAAAAAAAAAAAAAAAATACTACCGCCAAGATGAAGAGGAAGGAGATTTTTATTTTAATGAAAGAGAATTTAAAAACAGAATGGAAAGAATAGTAGAAAAATAATATTAAAGAATGAGGATTTTCCAAATGTCGAGAATGACATGGGGTTTCAGATTAAAAGTGCATATCCAGTGCTGACCAGTATGAAACATAAACCTGTACCTGATATTAAATTTAAATGTAAAATATGATAAAGCAAAAGAAGGCCTATTTCAAAATGAGATTTAGGAAGAGAACACTGAGAAGAAACACTTTTGAACACATAATTTTTTTAAATGAAGATTTACAAGAAATAGGAACATGTCCATGTATCTTTCTCAGATGATAGTGTAAAAAAAAAGATCAACAAGGATAAAATTTGATGTTAAACAACAGCAAATGATGAAATATAATTATAAAAACCTGAATTCTACAAATGTAGAGTGTATATATTTTTAAAAGCATATATTGAATCTTAACAAAAATTGACCATATTATAGGTCAAAAATAAATATTACACATTTCAAAGATTAGTATCCTAAAGACCACATCTTTTGACAGTGGCAATTAGAAATCATCATAGAAATCACATATTTGAAAATGAAAAAGACATTATTAAGTACTTAAAATCTAAATTTGTGTCAGCACATCTAAATTTGTTGCTCTAGATTTGGGAAATAATCTTTCAAGAGCTCATGACCTTCCCAGTTTGTGGAAGTATTTTGTTAATTACTTTTTCAATAATTTTCAATGATCGGAAATGATACCAAATTATGCTGGGTCCGTTTGGCTAATACAGAAAGCAAACATCAGCACCAAATTAGAAGTGCCAAACATTTTCTACAAAAGTTTAAGGAAAGGGAGCAGGAGTGGGCAGATAAAGTCATCCTGCTTTGATGCTGGTCTCATATTTGTGAAAGGAAAATGGGAAGCATTGGGTAGGAAAAGCCTCGGTGTATGGCACACCTTGAGAAAGCCCTCACTAGGCCAACGGGTTTCCCCCAGGGTATTTGCTCAATATCTCAATATTGGGTAAGAATATCTCAATATTGGGTAGGGTATTTGCTCAATATTTCAATATTGGGTAGGAAAAGTCTCAGTGTATGGCACACCTCTTAGAAAGCCCTCGTCAGGCCAGCGGGGTTTCCCACAGCGTATTTGCTCAATATTTCAATATGGATCCTGCTTTGGGACAGAATGGCCCAACTCCTGTACCTTTTCCATGTTCAGTCATTGGCTGGGAGTATCCTAAGGAAAGCACGGCTTCAACATCAAGATTTGGCAGATCTCAGAGGTGTGGCAGCTGGAGGCTGTCAGGCAATTCCACTGTTCTCATGAGGCCCTTGTTAGGGGGGTCAGTTGTCTTCATGTACACCACATGGACTCTTTATGCACAAGTCATGTTTTCTGTTGAACTTTACCATAGGGTGATAAGAAGGAAATAATTGAAAATGTTTATCTTGAGCAAAACAGGTAAAATGTAGGTCAAATGTAAAAATAAATTTTTGAAAGTCATTTTGAGAAAACTGCTGACAAGATTACACAGGGGAGAAGCATAAATTGAAAAGATGGTAGGAATGGTTTATTTATTTAACAAACTCAGGTCATTTATCATGTGTGAAACTGTCAAACACCATTCTATACACTTCACAAATATTAATTTATTTAATCTTCATAGTCATTATTAAATATATATTTTTACAGATGAAGAAGCTAGGAGAGATTAGGTAATTTGCTCAAGCTCACACAGCTAGTGGAACAAATAACAAAACCTCATAAAATAGCTAAATTTTAAAGTCAAAGAAGAAAGAAAAGCCAGAAAATGAAACTGAAGGTGTCTTAGGGTTCTCTAGAGGCACAGAACTAATAGGATAGATGTATATATGAAAGGGAATTTATTAGGGAATATTGACACACAATCACAAGGTGAAGTCCCACAATAGGGTATCTGCAAGCTGAGGAGCAGGGAAGCCAGTCCAAGTCCCAAAACCTCAAAAGTAGGGAAGCCAGCAGTGCAGCCTTCAGTCTATGGCCAAAAGCCTGACAGCCCTTGGCAAACCACTGGTGTAAGTCCAAGAGTCCAAAAACTGAAGAACTTGGAATCTGATGTTCGAGGGCAGAAAGCATCCAGCACGGTAGAAAGATGAAGCCTAGAAGATTCAGCAAGTCAAGTTCTCCCAAGTTCTCTTGCCTGCTTTATTCTAGCAGCACTGGCAGCTGATTTGATGGTGCCCACCCAGACTGAGGGTGGTATCTTCAAATCCACTGACTCAAATGTTAATCTCCTTTGGCAACACCCTCACAGACAGGCCCAGGAACAATATTTTGCATCCCTCAGTCCAATCAAGTTGACACTCAGTATTAACCATCACAGAAGGATAGTTAGAAAATTCAAAAGAGAATGAAGAGATACAGGTTTCTAGGAGTCAAAAGAAGAGATAATTTTGAAGAAAAATGTGCAATCAAGTGCATCAACTCTTCAGAGAAAGGTCAAAGCAGAGGCAACTATGGTATTGCATTTAGTAGATCTTGAGTGACTTTCAAGAGATTGTAGATTAAAAAGAGAATGATGGGATAATATGTAGAGAAGAAAGACAGCTAAAATTGTTTGTTTTTGTTAGCATAAAAAGAAAATTAAGTGTGCTTGTGCGAAGAATGTAACATATTTAGTGAGGATTCAAAGGACATACCTCTCTATCCAGTCAAGAAATGAGATCTTAGTTTGAAAAAGGAGATGGAATACTTTTCATGTGAAGAAGGAATAAAGGAAGGAAGGAAGAAGGGAGGGAAAGACAGAGGAAGGATGAATGATGATACAACAGTGTTTGTGTGTGGTTTTAACTGATAGACAAGAGACATTTCCTAATGGCCTTGTTTAATGACTCTAAATGACCTTGTCCCTCCTTCATTGAGAAGCTGATTTGATTCTCCCTATGTGGTAAGGCACTATTTAAAAATTAGTTCAAACAACTCCAATAAACATGGATTTGTTAAAAAATAAAAATAAGATTTTAAAAAACAAAGAAATGTTGAGATGCAAACTTACCTAGGTTCAATGGAATGTTTTCAAAACTTTTAATAAAGTAGGAAGTGGAAGACAATTCTTATAATTTAAGATACAAGAGTGGCTTGGAAACTAAAAATATTGAAAATATTTGAAATATTTATTCTGTGAAATTCAACAGTCAGTTAGAATAAAGACCTATTCTGCTCTGTATTCAAGGTGAAACACTGCATACTTTTCTCTCCAAAGTGAAATTGGGTATTTATAATTTCACTTGCCTTGATAAGTTTCCAAGTCACAGATTCCTGCTGATGTTTTTACTGTATTGCTGCACAATTTTAAGATAATTTTTGTATCAATGTCAACTTTTTTCACTAACTAAAAATTTAGCTGGGTCAAGGAAATAAAAAATGAGTTAAAGAGTTGCCAAGAGGTATTGACACACTCACATGCATACATGTATATAAATGTACACATTCATTATACGTGTGTGTAACTTTGTGAGTGTATGTGTGTGAGTGTGTGGGGGGGGGCGGGGGAGTGGTGTATGAAGTGTCCTCACAAAGGAGGGACAATAGTAGTCATCCAGCCTAGTTGCAAGCAATAAAGGGATTCATCATTTGTAGAGAATTTTCAAACAGCAATAAGACCAAATAAAAGTAATTCTGCTTTTTGTTACCAAGTGGTACCTATTCTACACAAAACAGTAATAACATACTCCTCCTAGAAAAAAAAAATGTTAGTCTAATTTTCAAACATGATCTGTGGTTACAGTTACATTTTAGTGTGTACATATATATGTATATAAGCACATTGTATTTTCTTATTTTGTAACAGCTTTATAGAGATATAATTCACATAGCATACAATTCACCCATTTAAAGTGTATAATTCAATGATTTTTGGCATTTACTACATTATTATTTTTTTAAAACTTTGTAGTAGAAACATATATAACATAAAATTTGTCATTTAACAATTTTAAGTGCACAATTTAGTGGCATTAATTAGATGACTATCATTTCATCTCATTATTTCAGTTACTTTTATAAATAAAGCTGCAAATCAATATCCTCATATATAATTTGTGCAAGTGTTTGCAAAGAATAGAAAGCTCTCACCTGGAAGGGCTAGTGATAAGGATGAAGAGTGATAAAGAGAAGAATGGGATACTCCTAGAGAAGAGCAACCCCAAGACACATAATTGTCAGATTCACCAAGGTTGAAATGAAGGAAAAAATGTTAAGGGCAGCCAGAGAGAAAGGTTGGGTTACCCACAAAGGGAAGCCTGTCAGACTAACAGCAGATCTCTCGGCAGAAACCCTACAAGCCAGAAGAGAGTGGGGGCCAATATTCACATTCTTAAAAAGAATTTTCAACCCAGAATTTCATATCCAGCCAAATCAAGCTTCATAAGTGAAGGAGAAATAAAATACTTTACATACAAGCAAATGCTGAGAGATTTTGTCATCACCAGGCCTGCCTTACAAGAGCTCCTGAAGGAAGCACTAAACATGGAATGGAACAACTGGTACCATGCCAAATTGTAAAGACCATCGATGCTACAAAGAAACTGCATCAACTAACAAGCAAAATAAACAGCTAACATCATAATGACAGGATCAAATTCACACATAACAATATTAACCTTAAACGTAAGTGGGCTAAATGCCCCAATTAAAAGACACAGACTGGCAAACTGGATAGTCAAGACCCATCAGTGTGCTGTATTCAGGAGACCCATCTCATGTGCAGACACACATAGACTCAAAATAAAGGGATGGAGGAAGATCTACCAAGCAAATGGAAAGCAAAAAAAGCAGGGGTTGCAATCCTAGTCTCTGTTAAAACAGACTTTAAACCAACAAAGATCAAAAATGGCAAGGAAAGCCATTACATAATGGTAAAGGCATCAATTCAACAAGAAGAGCTAATTATCCTAAAGATATATGCAACCAATACTGCGGCACCCAGATTCATAAAGCAAGTCCTTAGAGACCTACAAAGAGACTTAGACTCCCACACAATAATAATGGGAGACTTTAACACAGCGCTGTCAATATTAGACAGATGAACGAGACAGAAGGTTATCAAGGATATCCAGGACTTGAACTCAGCTCTGCACCAAGCTGACCTAATAGACATCTACAGAACTCTCCACCCCAAATCAACAGAATATACATTTTTCTCAGCACCACACCGCCCTTATTCCAAAATTGACCACATAGTTGGAAGTAAAGCTCTCCTCAGCAAATGTAAAAGAACAGAAATCACAACAAACTGTCTCTCAGACCACAGTGCAATCAAATTAGAACTCAGGATTAAGAAACTCACTCAAAACCACACAACTGCATGGAAACTGAACCACCTGCTCCTGAATGACTACTGGGTACATAACGAAATGAAGGCAGAAAAAAAGATGTTCTTCGAAACCAATGAGAACAAAGACAGAATGTACTAGAATCTCTGGGACACATTTAAAGCAGTGTGTGCAGGGACATTTATAGCACTAAATGCACACAAGAGGAAGCAGAAAGATCTAAAATCGACACCCTAACATCACAATTAAAAGAACTAGAGAAGCAAGAGCAAACAAATTCAAAAGCTACCAGAAGGCAAGAAATAACTAAGATCAGAGCGGAACTGAGAGAGACAGAGACACAAAAATCCCTTAAAAAAACAATGAATCCAGGAGCTAGTTTTTTGAAGAGATCAACAAAATTGATAGACCACTAGCAAGATTAATAAGGAAGAAAAGACAGAAGAATCAAATAGACACAATAAAAAATGATAAAGGGGATATCACCACCGATCCCACAGAAATACAAACTACCATCAGAGAATAGTATAAACACCTCTATGTAAATAAACTAGAAAATCTAGAAGAAACAGATAAATTCCTGGACACATACACCCTTCCAAGACTAAACCAGGAAGAAGTTGAATCCCTGAATAGACCAATAACAGGCTCTGAAATTGAGGCAATAATTAATAGCCTACCAACCAAAAAAAGTCCAGGACCAGACGGATTCACAGCTGCATTCTACTAGAGGTAAAAACAGGAGCTGGTACCATTCCTTCTGAAACTATTCCAATCTACAGAAAAAGAAAGAATCCTCCCTAACTCATCTTATGAGGCCAGCATCATCCTGATACTAAAGCCTGACAGACACACAACAAAAAAAGAGAATTTTAGACTAATAACCCTGATGAACAACAAAGCGAAAATCCTCAATAAAATACTGACAAACTGTATCCAACAGCACATCAAAAAGCTTATCCACTTTATCAAGTCGGTTTCATCCCTGGGATGCAAGGTTGGTTCGACATACGTGAATCAATAAACGTAATCCATCATATAAAGAGAACCAATGACAAAAACCATATGATTATCTCAATAGATGGAGAAAAGGCCTTTGGCAAAACTCAACAGCCCTTCATGATAAAAACTCTCAATAAACTAGGTATTGATGGGACGCATCTCAAAATAATTAGAGCTATTTATGACAAACCCACAGCCAGTATCATAGTGAATGGGCAAAAACTGGAAGCATTCCCTTTGAAATCCAGCATAAGACAAGGATGCCCTCTCTCACCATTCCTATTCAACACAGTGTTGGAAGTTCTGGCCAGGGCAATCAGGCAAGAGAAAGAAATAAAGTGTATTCCCTTAGGAAAAGAGAAAGTCAAATTGTCCCTGTTTGCAGATGACAAGGCTGTGTATTTAGAAAACCCCATCGTCTCAGCCAAAAATCTCCATAAGCTGATAAGCAACTTCAGTAAAGTCTCAGGATACAAAATCAATGTGCAAAAATCACAAGCATTCCTATACACCAAAAACAGATAAACAGAGAACCAAATCATGAGTGAACTCCCATTCACCATTGCTACAAAGAGAATAAAATATCTAGGAATCCAACTTACAAGGGATGTGAAAGATCTCTTCAAGGAGAACTACAAACCAATGCTCAATGAAATAAAAAAGGACACAAACAAATGGAAGAACATTACATGCTCACGTATATGAAGAATCAATATCGTGCAAATGACCATACTGCCCTAGGTAACTTACAGATTCAATGCCGTTCCCATCAAGCTACCAATGACTTTCTTAACAGAATTGGAAAAAACTACTTTAAAGTTCATATGGAACCAAAAAAGAGCCCGCATAGCCAAGAGAATCCTAAGCAAAAAGAACAAAGCTGGAGGCATCATGCTACCTGACTTCAAACTGTACTACGAGACTACAGTAACCAAAAAAGCATGGTACTGGTAACAAAACAGATATATAGACCAATGGAACAGGACAGAGGCCGCATAAATAACACCACACATCTACAACCATCTGGTCTTTGACAAACCTACAAAAACAAGAAATGGGGAAAGGATTCCCTATTTAATAAACAGTGCTGGGAAAACTGGCTAGCCATATGTAGAAAGCTGAAACTGGATCCCTTCCGTACACCTTATACAAAAATTAATTCAAGATGGATTAAAGACTTAAATGTTAGACCTAAAACCATAAAAACCCTAAAAGAAAACCTAGGCAATACCATTCAGGATATAGGCATGTGCAAACACTTCTTGACTCAAACAGCAAAAGCAATGGCAACAAAAGCCAAAATAGACTAATGGGATCTAATTAAAGAATTTCTGCACGGCAAAAGAAACTACCATCAGAGTGAACAGGCAACCTACAGAATGGGAGAAAATTTTTGCAATATACTCATCTGACAAAGAGCTAATATCCAGAATCTACAAAGAACTTAAAAACAGCAGCCCCATCACAAAGTGGGCAAAGGATATGAACAGACACTTCTCAAAAGAAGACATTTATGCAGTGAACAGACACATGAAAAAATGCTCATCATCACTGGTCATCAGAGAAATGCAAATCAAAACCACAGTGAAATAGCATCTCATGCCAGTTAGAATGGCAATGATTAAAAAGGCACAAAACAACAGATGCTGGAGAGGATGTGGAGAAACAGGAACACTTTTACACTGTTGGTGGGACTGTAAACTAGTTCAACCATTGTGGAAGACAGTGTGGCAATTCCTCAAGCATCTAGAACTACAAATTCCATTTGACCCAGCAATTCCATTACTGGGTACATACCCAAAGGATTATAAATCATTCTACTATAAAGACACATGCACTCGTATGTTTATTGTGGCACTGTTCACAATAGCAAAGACTTGGAACCAACCCAAATGTCCATCGATGATAGACTGGATAAAGAAAATGTGGCACATATATACCATGGAATATTATGCAACCATAAAAAAGGATGAGTTCATGTCCTTTGCAGGGACATGGATGAAGCTGGAAACCACGATTCTCATCAAACTATCACAAGGACAGAAAACCAAATACCGCATGTTCTCACTCATAGGTGGGAACTGAACAGTGACAACACTTGGACACAGGGAGGGGAACATCACACACCGGGGCCTTTCAGGGGTGGAGGCCTGAGGGAGGGATAGCATTAGGAGATATACCTAATGTAAATGATGAGTTTATGGGTGCAGCAAACCAACACGGCACATGTACACCTATGTAACCTGCACATTGTGCACAAGTATCCTAAAACTTAAAGTGTAATTTAAAAAGCAGGGGAGCTGAAAATCCTTGGCATTTCTCAATGAGGAATTCCAGAAAGATAAGAACATTACCAATCTTAGGGTAGGAAGATTCTCTAGTGCTAGAATAGAATGCCCAACTACCCTTACCATCCACCTTATTCAAAACAAAGAAAATGACAATCTACTTACTTTGTTTTTTGTTTAAATTTTCTTTTCTTACCCTTTTTATGATTGCCCTAACAATAGCTATCCAATGCTACATCAGTCAGAAAATTATTTGTATTTTTTTATTTTTAAACCCGATCTCCACTACAACGTATTTTAAATATGTTGGTTTTCTTTAACATTTCACAATAAATAACCCTCACATTTCTAACTTTTAATGAAAAATCAATGATATATAAAGGCTGTTATATTTTTAAAACATTTCTATTTTTGAATCTGTTGCTTTACATAATTTTGTTTAATCAACTGGCTTCTTCGAAAAGCACATGAACCCTAAGAAATAAAATGTGTATAGATTCTGAGACCACAAAACTCACAAGTGTTTTGTAATACCACAGTAGAGCTAACCCGTACGGTGCAACAACTCTCACTGAAGCACTTTGAGGTAGAGAGACCTTGATTCATTACTTTTAAAATGAGAATACTACTACAGAGAAATTGTATAAAGCTTTTCCATCTTGGTTTCTGATTAAAGGATCAAAATGTCAAAGCTAATAATAATGATGAATGTTAATTTACCCATTAAATGTAAAACCTGTTTTTAAAAAATAATCATAAGACTCAACAAAAATTACCACTTTCCATAGAATTGATGATCACTTAATATATGAATTTATTCTCTGTTACTGTACCTTTGACTCCATCCCCATTAACCTGTTTCTTGATTTATTTCCTCATCTTTAACATAAGATTTGGTTACATAATCATTAGGATCCCTTCCAGCTCAATAATTCTATGACAGTGCTTCTTTCAGTCTGTATTTTCTCTGTATTTCTTATACAAATAGTTTACTTTCCTTTGAAGGTACAGAAAGAAAACAGGTTTGGAGATCAGAAAAACCTCACCTTAAATTATGTTCTGCCACACACTAAATACAAATCTTTAAATATGCTATTTATACTTTCTGAAATCAGCTCTTTCATTCCTAAAAGGAAGATGAAAACAAAACTTACTTCTATTTTCAATGCCATGAAAATGCTTTGAATGTTCATTCAATATTTCAAATATATAGAGAGGGCATTTACTAAGTACCAGGCATCAAATATAAGAGATGATAGATAGATATAGACAGATAGATCAATAGATAGATAAAAGATATTCAAGGGATGATAGATAGATAGATAGATAGATAGATAGATAGATAGATAGATAGATAGATGATAGATGATAGATAGTAGAGATAATAGATATTTGATAGATGGATAGATACAGTTCATAGATAGATGATAGAGCAGAGTCTAGAATATGGAATGCAAAGTATGAAATTCTTCCTTCTCCACTCTTCACTTTTCCCCCCAACCATGCTTAGTAACTTTCATTACTAATTCCCTATCCTAAGCAGTTTCGTATTTTTCAATAGCAACAAGTCATGTTGCTTTATGTATACCAGACTGAGCATGCTGAAAATGACGAGACACAGCAATGCTAAGGAGGAAGCTTCTACCCCTTGGGAAACTGAGCATCATGAGGCCGAAGCATACTGGTTGTTTTTTGGGTATTTTTTTGTAGCTCAATCAAATTTCAGTAAGACATATAGTTTATAAATGTTTGTTTATGGATATTTGTTATGCAGCACAAGATGATATACACTCAGCAATTCACAATGGTGTAAAGGGCAGTTACACTTACTGCTGTGTTCATAATCGATACTAAATTGATACAGACAAATATAATGCTTTTTTCTGTTTCCAAGTTTGAACCAGCTATTGAATCATTTATACTTTTTCCTTGCTGGAAAATTAGATATTCTTCATATTGAGGATTTTTAGAATATTTGAGAAAGGAAAATTATTCAGTTTGCCATGTGTGATAACCTACACTGTAATTCAAGCAAATTTACTTCTCAGGATATAAAATTTCAAGGCATTCAGATAGGAATATTATCTCAGCTGTTTGTGGGATTTTCATATCTGTTTCTAATTTAATGTGTGTTTCGTACTAGAGATGAAGTATGATTCTCTTGCTGTTATTTTTAATCTTTACAAACTAAAGCCTCCCTTTCAAATCAGGCTGTTGCAATTTTTCCTTTCATAGCATTAAAAAGTTTCTAACTTATGGTCATACAGCATATTAAGCAAACAAAAATACCAAACACTCAAAATTGTAAGTCACGTGAATTTAATTATGAACACATATTGACTGCTGTACGAAAACTCTAAATGTAGTTTTATGATTTGCAACAATTGTTCTAAGTAACACCAGTATTACAATACGTAATATCTTAGATTCCTCATATTTTTCTTTGTCTCCAAGAAAGAGTGCATGAAATTGATCACAAACTGGTAAACTAGAAAAATCTTCAGAAAATATTTCCACTTTTCTTAGCAATCTGTTTGAATAATTAGCAAGTCTTATGATCAGACTGATTTTTTTTTCATTTAATGAAACAAAAGTCACTCTTAGAGATTGCTACCCCTCTCCTGTGGTAAATGAGGATATTTAGATATTTTTGACAAATACGTAAGTGGGAAGGTGGCTGGCCTTATGGTTAATTTCACATACTCTGAAATGCCTGTTATCCAGAAAACATTCCTTTCATCCACTTAAAAATCTCAGATAAAGCTACTGTGTAACTTCAAACAGACACATATTAATATAAAATATTTATATGTTAAATTAGCAGACTTCTTTATGTATTTATTCACTCTAAATTATTTAATGCCTGCATAATTTAGATATTGTTCTTTACTCATTACCATAATAACACATAATCACTGATTGGATAAATAGGTCTCAATTTTTATAAAAAGATAGTAAGAAATGGTGCATGTGGCATCTGAAAATTTACATGGGAACAAGAGGAAAGCAGCAATGTCTGAAAAATTATTTTAAAAGCACAAGACATTGAAAATAAAGTGTAAGTAAAATCAGTTGAAAAATGGGGAATGATAGGTGTAAATGGGTAAAAAGTTTCAGAGGAGTCTTTTCTGTGGGTTTCCATCTTACAATTGTGATTCTTTAGTCCTTTACCAATGCCTGGGTTTGACTGTTTGTGTTAATACTACCATGTCGTCAACCCTATCAAGGAAACCACCTTTTTCTCTCCCTTCACACACACTGCTTTTTGAATGTCTATCAGTCGCTTTTCTCCTTTCTCTTTAACATTTCACTATAGATAAATGTGCATCCAAATAATTTGTGCTGTCAAGGAAGAGGGAAGAACACAAAAATACAGATGAATCGGCTCTGATTCAAATTTTTCATTTCATTATATCATGTTGCTAGAATTTAAGAATATTCCTGTGAAGATATGTTAGCTAGTTCTCACCTTACTATCAATTCCAGTTTCAGAGAGATAGTAATAGCCCTAGATATTCATATCATGACTAGATAACCACTTTTTATTTTTCCATCCACAGAAGGTAAATATCTCAAAACAATTTACTTTCATCCAAGTATTTGGTTTGCATGTTCAAAGCTCCCAAACTTCTGACACACACAGCCTTCTTGCAGAAGCTATGGCCATGTAAAATAACTATACATGACTGTAAAATAATAGTTTTCAATCACTGGTATTCATTAAAGAATTTACATTAATAAACTGCCTTCTGAGATCCCAAGATGGGCATAACATTACGGTGCATGCTACATGGCCTCTCCCCTTCTCGAGACTATGAAGGTCATTTTACAAGAACCAAACACAAACCCTTCCTTTGGTCATTTTTGCTCAAGTCAAACCCTAACTACACTGCATTTAAGATGTTTATTTGTGAGATGAAGCATGTCCCAGCAATTCATAAAACATGAAAGCTCTGCCCAAACAGTAAGTGTTGCATGTTGTGGTAAAAGCATTCTTAAATCATTCTGAGTGTTACTTTCCACTAACGAACCCTGTGAAAATTGGAATTACCAACATTCCAGGATCTTGCTCCTGCTTTATGAATGAAGATAACAGGTGGTTCAGAAAAGAAATAGATACAGCAAAGAATGCTGCAAAGCTAAGTTGTGAAGGTTCCTATGATTATCTAGAAGGCTCATTTCAATTTATAATAAAGGGAAGAGTCTTAAGCAATGAATGGTTTCTTCATTGATACAGAGTTCATTAAGAGGAGAATAAGGGATTAACTTTTGATATTCTCAGTTCCCAATAATAATACCTTAGGGTGTTGTTTGTTACCTTGACGGAAAGTTAAATTCTGCAACCCTAAAATAATATCGTTACTATCCTTTTAACCCTTTTAAATTCCCTTAAATGATGACCTTCTTGCTTGTATATTGTTGTGTCAACAGATATTACAAACAAGAATATAAGACCATTTCAAAATTTACGAAATTCTCCCTAATTATTCTTGGTTTCTAGATGTTACTAAAAAAAGAAAAAAAAAAGAAAACTAGCTTTTTGGGGGTAACAAATTAGGTATAAAATGTATTTTATGTACATTCTATATAACAAAATATGTGTGTGTATGTGTGTGTGTAGTGTGTGTGTGTATAATATTGTTATGCAACCCATGACTATGTGAACACATGTGTGCTTGTTTATATTTATACAGTCTACCTACATATACCTATAGATATATATACATATCTATATTTATACAGACATTTTGGTCGACCACAGACTGCATATACGACTGGTTCCATGAGATTTTAATGGAGCTGAAAAATTCCTATTGCCTGGTGGCATCTTAGCTGTTGTAACATCTTAGCACAGCACATTACCCATGTGTTTGTGGCGATGCTGGTGTAAACAAGCCCACCCTACTGCCAGTCACATAAAAGTATAGCACATACAATTATCTATAGTACATAATATTTGATAATAATAAATGACTATATTACTGATTTGAGTGCTTAATACACTATACTTTTTATTGTTATTTTAGAGTGTACTCCTTCAATTTTTTTTAAAGTTAATCCTTCAGGAGTTATTCCAGAAGAGGGCATTGTTATTATAAAAGGTGACAGCTTCCTGTATGTTCTTGCCCCTGAAGACCTTCCAGTGGGACAGGATGTAGAGATGGAAGGCAGTGATATTGATGATCCTGATTTTGTCTAGGTCTAGGCTAATGTGCATGTTTTACATTTTTAAATGTTACTTATAAAAATTAGTTTTACATTTAAAAAATGTAAAACTAAAAAATATTAATAGAAAAAATTTCATTGAATAAGGATATAAAGGAAATATTTTGTACAACTATACAATGTGTTTTAAGCTTAGCATTGTTACAAAAGGGTCAAAAAGTTTAAAAACTTTAAACAGGTATAAAGTTAAAAAGTTAGAGTAAGCTATGGTTATTATTGAAGAAAAAATATTTTTATAAATTTAGTTTAGCCTAAGTTTATAGTATTTATGAAGTCTACAGTAGTGTACAATAATGTCCTAGGCTTTCACATTCATTCATTACTCATTCACCTATTCACCCAGAGCAATTACCAGTCCTGCAAATCTCCATTAATAATAAGTGCCCTACACAGGTGTACCATTTTTTATTGTACCTTTACTATGTTGAGACATATTTAGATGCAAAAATACTTACCATTGCGTTACAATTGCCTACAGTATTCAATATAGTCACATGCTATGCAGTTTTGCAGGCTAGGAGCAATAGCCTAGGTAGGCTATAGTATCTAGGTTTGTGTAAGTATACTCATGACGTTCATACAACGATTAAATTGCCTAATGACATATTTCTCAGAACCTATTCCCACCACTAAGCAATGCAGGACTATGTCTTTTTTTTTGTATGTGTATTTATTTATTTGTTGTTTATATATTTATTATACTTTAAGTTCTAGGGTACATGTGCACAACGTGATCATGCTGCTATAAAGACACATGCACACGTACGTTTATTGCTGCACTACTCACAACAGCAAAGACTTGGAACCAACCCAAATGTCCAACAATGATAGACTGGATTAAGAAAATGTGGCACATACACACCATGGAATACTATGCTGAGAATGATGGTTTCCAGCTTCATCCATGTTCCTACAAAGGACATGAACTCATCATTTTTTATGGCTGCAAACTATCGCAAGGACAAAAAAACAAACACCGCATGTTCTCACTCATAGGTGGGAATTGAACAATGGGAACACTTGGACACAGGAAGGGGAACATCACACACCAGTACTATATCTATTTAAAATACCTGTAAACCACTTTCAAAATTAATAGCTTTTAACATATATATCCTTCTTTAAGTATTGCTATGAACATTGCAAAGTTTCACAGAACTGACAAAATGAATGCAGTTCAAAAGCTTTCATGTCCACGTGACAAATGGCATGCAGCATTTTTACTGAGGTATTTGGAACCTGAAGCTAATGATTAATCCTGCAAAGAATTTCTTGGAATGTAGGCTGGAATAGTCTAAATTTTGGACCCATTCCCCCAAATTTTAATTACCTTAGGAAAATGGAAAAGGAAATGCTGTCATTTGTTTGTTTAACTTGGCTAGAATTTTTTTGTAATCACTTTCCTCAATAAGTTATTATTTTTTAAGCAAATACAAATGATATGCTTTTAGAGCCAACCCAAAAGTAGCACTCAATAGAGGAACATACTTTTGAATTTATTTTAATCAGTGGATAAATGTTTTATAAAAATCATGCTGATTTGAACTCTGTATCAATAGCATACCACTGACTATTACACCCTATCTACAGATCTCAAAGCATAAATTCACCAACCTCAAAAGACAGGGCCTACTTTCTTGCCTCAAGATATCAGACTAGCACAGGGGATTCTGTAAAATTTTAATTTTGTAAATTTTCCATGTTGGAAATTCCATAAACTCTCTTGGGAGCCTAATTCCCTTTGCAACTCAGTTCTGTCTTTTGTATGACATCTACTTCTCATACTGGAGAATTACTATAGAAATCTCTTGCTCTAGTCTCCTCGAAATAATTATTTATCACCTAAGGTCTTGTATTAACAGCTTCATCTTCACTAATTTTATATATCCCACTAATTTTATATATCCCTAAACTTGTAACTTTTTCTCAGAGGTTTTATTTTCCATTCTTTTGATTATGTTCACTTACTTTCATCTGAAAAGAGTGCCGATTCTCTAATTTGTATTTTAAAAGGCTAATATCTACATGTCTCAAATTGATAAGCGGATGTTGGGTATTATATGGCACAAGCTAAATCATGTATTGTTTCTCTTTACAATGATTTGCTTAGAATCATGGAGACATCACACTTCACTTCTCCCCCAGAAAGTAACCTATTTTTCTCAGAATTATGTAACCTAGATCAGTACAAGGCAGCTCAAAGAATTTTCTGAATGGAATGCCAGAGTTGAGTTTTAAAGAGAAAATTAAGTTATGGTGTAGATGACTGGCGTAAAACTCAGATTCTCCTAACTGAGAAGTAAACTATTGGTGGGCACAAAGATTTTCTCTAATCCACAGGGATTCTTCGCAGCAATCAGCTAGTAGTATGTAGATTACTTATATGAAGCATCCTACAGAATATTTATGGTAAAACAAAATATTGTCCTGTAATATTTAGTGCTAAGGCAGACCTCTTCTAGAGCCCTTGGATGAAGAAATTTGCATTTATTCTATTAAGAGGCAGCAAGCACCGTGGTAATAAACAGGCTTCAGCATCAGTATGTCTGGGTTTGGGAAAGAACTCTTTCATTTATTGGTTGTGAGTAAAAAGACATCTTACAGGCAGACCTCAAATATTGCAGGTTTGGTTCTAGACCACAACAATAAAGCAAGTATCACAATAAAGTTAGTCATAAGATATTTTCGGTTTCCTCATGCATATAAAAATTATATTTACACTAGTCTATTAAATGTGCAAGAGCATTATGTCTAAAAAACAATGCATACACTTTAATTGGAAAAATTCTTTGTTGCTAAAAAATGCTAACCATCATCTGAGTCATTAGGGAGTCATCAACTTGTTGCTGGTGGAGGGTTTTGCCTCCATTTGATGGCAGCCAACTAATCAGAGTGGAAGTTGCTGAAGGTTGGATTGGCTGTGGCAATTTCTTAAAATGAGACAACAATGAAGTCTGCCACAGCACTTCATTCTTCCTTTCACAAAATATTTCTCTACAGCATATGGTGCTGTTTCACAGCATTTTACCCTCAGAAGAACTTCTTTCAAAATTGAAATCAATCTTCTCAAACCTTGCTGCTGCTTTATCAACTAAGTTTATGTAATATTCTACATATTTTGTTACCATTTCAACAAGGTTCTCAGCATCTTTCCCAGTAGTAGATTCTATTTCCAAAACCCACTTTATTTTCTCATCCATATGAAGCAGCTCCTCATCCGCTCAAGTTTTATCATGAGATTACAGCAATTTAGCTACATCTTCAGATTCTACTTCTAACTCTACTTCTCTTATTTTGACCACATCTGTGGTTACTTTCTCCACTGAAATTCTGAACCCTTGAAAGTCATCCATGAAGGTTGGAATCAACTTCTTCCAAATTCCTGTCAAAGTTGACATTTTGACCTTTATCCATGAATCACAAACGTTATTAATAGCATTTAGAATGTTAAGTCCTTTCCAGAAGATTTTCTATTTACTTTTCCAGATCCATTAGAGCAATCACTATCTATGGCAGCTACAGCCTTACAAAATATATTTCTTAAGTAAGAAGACTTCAAAATCAAAATAACTCATGCATCCACAGGCTGCAGAATGGATATTGCATTAGCAGGCATGGAAACATTAATCTCCTTGTACATCTTCTTCAGAGCTCTTTGGTGACTAGGTCAATGGGAAGTAATATTTTGAAAGAGATCTTTTTAAAATTTAATTTTTTTGAGAAAGTGTCTCATTCTGTCACCCTAGCTGGAGTGCACGGGCATGATCATGCCTCACTGCAGCCTCAACAATCTGAACTCAAGCAATCCTTCTACTTCAGCCTCCCAAGTAGCTGGGACTACAGGTGCACACCACCATGCCTGACTAAATTATTATTTTTTTTGTAGAGATCGGGTCTCACTTTGTTTCCTATGTTGCTCTCAAACTCCTGGGTTCAAGTGATTCTCCCAGTTTGGTCTCCCAAAGTGCTGGGAATACAGGCATGAGACACTGTGCCCATCCAGGATCTTTTTTTTCTGAGCAGTAGGTCTTAATAGGGGGCTTAAAATATTCAGCAAATCATACCATAAACAGACATGCTGTCATACAAGCTTTATTGTTCCATTTATAAAGCACTGGCAGAGTAAATTTAGCATAATTGTTAAGGGCCTTAGGATTTTTGGAATGGTAAATGAGCTTTGGCTTTAAGTCACCAGCTGCATTATCCCCTAACAAGAGAGTCAGCCTGTCCTTTGAAACTTTGAAGCCAGGCTAGCTCTCCAGCTCTCTAGCTTTCATAGTTCTCTAGCTATGAAAGTCCTAGATGGCATCTTCTTCCAGTAGAAGGCTGTTTTGTTTCCATTGAAAATCTATTGTTTATTTTAACAACATTCATCAAAAATAGCTTGATCTTCTAGATAACTTGCTGCAGCTTCTCCATCAGCACTTGCTGCTTCAACCTTGCACTTTTATGTTACGGAGATGGCTTCTTTACTTAAATCTCATGTACCAACATCGGCTAGCTTCAAACTTTTCTTCCAAAACTTTCCCACTGCTTTCATCCCTCATAGAATTTAAAAGCATTAAGGCCTTGCTCTGGATTTGACTTTGGGTAGAGAGAATGTCATAGCTTCTATCCAGACTACCCGACGTTTTCTACCTCAGCAATAAGACAGTTTCACTTTCTTTTTGTTGTGTATTCACTGGAGTAGCACTTTCAATTTCCTTCAAGGACTTTTCCTTTGAATTCACAACTCGGCTTACTGGTGCAGGCAGCCTAGATTCTGGCCTATCATAGCTTTCAACTTGCCTTCCTCACTAAGCTAAATCATTTACAGCTTTTGATTTAAAATGAGAAATGTGTAATTCATCCTATCAATGAAGCACCTAGAGGATATTTTAGGGTTATTAATTAGCCTATTTTCAGTATTGTTGTGTCTCAGAAAATAGGGAAGCCTGAGGAGAGGGAGATGGGGGAATGGCTGGTTAGTGGAGCAGTCAGTGCACACACGACTCTTAATTAAGTTCACTGTCTTATGTGGGTGCAGTTCATGGTGCTCTAAAACAATTACACCAGTAACATCAAAGACCACTGATCACAGATCACCATAACAGGTGTCATAATGAAAAAGTTGGAAATATGGCAAGGATTGCTAAAATTTTACAAGGACACACAAAGTGAACACATCCTGTTGGGGAATTGGCACTGATAGACTTGCTGGATGCAAGGTGACCACAAAACTTCAATTAGTAAAAACACAATATCTGTGAAGTACATTAAAGTGCAGTGCAATAAAATGTACTACATTTTGTCCAGTCTCAGTCTCCTCCTCTGTTCAATAGAGATAATTATAATTCTTCATAAGGTTGGTGTAAGATTAAGAGGGAAATATACAGAAAGTGTTTAGCATAATATCTGAAATTTACCAGCACCATATAAAGATTTTGCTATTATACTTTTATATTTACAATATCATCATTGTTTAACTTTGTGCAACAGTGGAGAGCTTGTTCGCCAATAATTCACGTACCTAAAACCAGAATTTAATAATCTGAGAAACTATAGAAATTATTTTAAAGAAAACAAAAAGAGACATATTTAAAAATCAAATTACATATTATGGTTGATGGCCATCTGTGTAGCTTGTTCATAATATTAGTTTATGGAGAAGAATGAATACTTTTTTAGCTGTGCTTTGAAATCTGAGGTAGATTATCAAAATCAAGATCAGAGTCAGCTTTCAAGTTGCCACTGCTTGACTGTGTACTCTCAGTTTGAGGCAAGATTCCTTGCATTATTCTTCTGGTATTTGTTGGCTGCTTATCATTTTGCCTCCTTGTCAAAATTCAGTGTTGGCTGCAGTAAAGCAACCGCGTTTGTTTCTTCTGGCAAAAAGAAGTGGCAGGGGAGTGACTGGGAACGTTGTTTATAGAATAGCTTGGCATCAGTGAACATTTTTGATCTTTAGGTTTTTATCCCAATAAAAACCATAAGGGAAGTTGCACATAGTAAGAATGATTTATTTACTTTATTGTTAAATTGGAATAGTAACACAATTTTTAAAAGACACAGTGCGACTGACACGCTTTAAAGGCTGTGTGACTAACACGCCTTTAGGTACGTTAATATCCAACACTGGATGGTTCGTTTGGCTTTTTCTTCCTAAATAAATATGCCAGGTATGAAAATTAAATGGGCAATTGATTTAAAATGTGAAAGCACTGGTCCATGTAAATGTATGTCATGTCAACATATTAAAATTATTGATCATTTAAGTTTTTATATAGGGATTGTATAGACTGACTAGTTATATGAATAAATGTGTCACTTATTAGTTGGCACCAACTCAGGGTCACAGGAAGAAGTCTAACATTTCCAACAGTACATACCCTGTTCCACTACACCATATATAATCCTTAAAAGGAAAAATAAACAAAACATTTCTAGACATGTGCAGCACAAGTTTTATTATAAACATCCGAATTTTTTGTATCTGAGGTGATTTGTTTCCATAGATTTTGTAATGCTTTGAAAGAGAATTTACTTTCTCTTTAAGAAACTTAAACACACAAGTGTATGCGTATGCACACACACACATAGCACAACAGCTTCTTAGTTTGATAGATTCTTTAGTTTCTTTATTTAGAAACATACAATGTACCCAAGTAATAGCAGAGAGTTCTATGCATAGGTACATATCAATTACATTTTCCTTATATTTGGTTGTTGTTAGAGTTGTGATCATGATGGTGCGGGTGCTGGTGGGGATTTCTAAGTGAATTGCTTTCAACCTCACATCTGAGTACATGAAGGTTTAATTATAAAGGGTCTCAAATATTTAGCAAGTATCTATAACACTCAAATTATGGCTGACTTAATACAAAATAAACAAGATGATTTTTTCTAAATAACATTTATTTAAAATATTTACCCTGAGATGTATACAACAGAATCAACCAATCAGCAAAAATGCAGCTCTAGAACATAAAATGTCTCTCATGTTACTTGATATTTAATTTGGGGCATTTTCCATCTTTTATATATTACAAAATTTTGACACTTTATTTTTAAAACTTTTCCTTTTGGCTACTTTTTAGTGGTATAATCAACAGCATTTCCCCAAAAAAACTTGCCCCTGAAATTGTTATCTATTTAACTCCAATATTACTTGAAGAGGCTTAAATGAGACCACATTTTACCTGCAGCCAGTGCATTCTTCTAAGGAAAGACAAGATACTAGGAGCTCAGTATTCTCCCCTACACATTATTCTATTATGATTACACATTAATAATTCCCAAAATATCAAACCAGGAGGTAGACCACATGAGTTTGGGGACTAGTTTTGCTAGCATCTGTTCCCACAGCAAAATTCATTTTGCTTCATTTTGCCTCAGTTCCCTGACCTATGAAATGTTCAGAAGAATGGACAGTTACTCTCTATTAAATTATTATGTATGAAAGAATAAAATAATTTTTAGCTGTGGTCACACAGCATAACTGGTATTATGCTGATGAAAACAGTATTTTTGTTTTTAATGTAACTGAGTTTGATGTACTTTTCCATCATTCAATATAGATACTTAAAAGGCAATGAGCCCCATCATAGGCATGGTTCAAACATACTGCAATCGCTGTTCAAAATAAGCTTGTGCTTCACAAAGCATGCTCACTAACAGTACATGACTTCACAATTCAGTGAGGTGCAGAGGGTGGATTTCGTTACAGCTGTGGTACACTTGTCAAAAATTATAGATTAAATGACTTGTCCAGGGTAATAAGACTCAGAGTCTGGACTCAGACCCAGGTCTTCTAACTCTAAAAGCAAGTTGCATCATGGTACACCTGCATGTGCAGAGGCCATGTTCCACGTACATTCACATATTACTTGTGATTTTTAAAATTTGTAATTGTTTTCTTTGAAGTCAATCTAAAATATTTTAAGGTTAACTTATTTTAAGATTTTAAATTACATCAGTAACATCAAAGACCACTGACCACAGATCACCATAACAGGTGTCATAATAATGAAGTGGCAGGGGATTTAAGATTTTAAATCTTAAAATCATTTAGAAGTAAGTATACATTTTTATTTTGGGTATATGAAAGTCCACCATTATATAGTACAGTTTAATACTTAAACTTTCCTTGCATAAACGATGACAAGTCCTAGAGAAACTTGTAAACCTAGTGTGTGTGTCACTCTGTAATAGAGTCTAGCACTGATAGAATGAATTAATTTCCCCTATATACTATATTTATATACAGAAAAATCTTCTGCAACACTTATTTAATAAAGGAATTCTTACTATAAAAGAGATTTCACTTATATTGGTATCACATAATGAATGCCCCCTTCTACGTTAATAAAGCCCTCAAATAAACTCTCATTAATTAAATTATCCTTGGTTTTACAAGTATGGA
This sequence comes from Homo sapiens, assembly GCF_000001405.40. Taxonomy (NCBI): domain Eukaryota; kingdom Metazoa; phylum Chordata; class Mammalia; order Primates; family Hominidae; genus Homo; species Homo sapiens. Next base: position 92,810,138 of record NC_000013.11, read on the forward strand.
GGTTATTGAAAAACCCCTATACTTGTGAAATCAAAGATAATTCTACTAGGTAATCACAAAGTTGTGCTTTTATTAATCACTTCTATAAGTCACTGATATTAACCATGAATATCATCTTCAGTTATTAGAAAAGAATTAGTCCCGTATACATCTCTAGGTAAAGCACAGTTTTGTAAAGAATGATCTATGTAAGTAAACCAGCTTAACATAAAAATTACTTCACAATGAAAACGTTAATTTTAATTTTCTAATTTATTAAAAAGAAGACTACCCAGAAAATGATTTTTTCCTGTGGTAAAATATATTTAACATAAAATTAACCATATGTATCATTTCGAGTGTACAATTTAATGGCATTCATTATATTTACACTGTTATATCACCATCACCTCTCTAGTTCCAAACCATTTTTTACTGTCCCAAACAAGAACTTGTAATCATTAAGCAATAACTCCCCATTCACCCCTCCCTCCACCCCCAGTAACCTTGAATCTACTTTGATATCTATGAATTTGTCTATTTTAGATACTTCATATAAGTGGAATCATACGCATTTATCTTTTGGTACCTTGTCACCTAGAATTTTTATTTATTTGTTTTTGAGACGGAGTCTCACCTTGTTGCCCAGGCTGGAATACAGTGGTGTGATCTCAGCTCACTGCAACCTTTGCCTCCTGGGTTCAAGTGATTCTTCTGCCTCAGCCTCCAGAGTAGCTGGGATTACAGGCGTCTGCCACCACAACCAGCTAATTTTTTGTATTTTTAGTAGAGACGGGGTTTCACCGTGTTAGCCAGGATGGTCTTGATCTCCTGACCTCATGATCTGCCTGATTCGGCCTCCCAAAGTGCTGGGATTGCAGGAGTGAGCCACCGTGCCCAGCCCAGCATAATGTTTTTAAGTTTCATCCATGTATCAGAACTTCATTCCTTCTTATGGCTAAATAATATTCCAACACATGAATATACAAATTTTGTTTATCCACTCATCTGTTGATGGACACTGGATTGTTTCCATATTTTAGGCTGTTGTGAATAATGATGCAATGAACACTGGCATACAAGTATTTTGTTTCATTTCTTTTGGGTTTATTCCTAGGAGTGTGATTGCTGAAATTGTTAGGTCGTATAGTAATTCCATCATCAGCCTTGCACCAATTTACATTCCCAGGAGCAATGTACACATATTCCACCATCGTAATGGTATTTCATTCTGCTTTTTTATTTGGTTTCCCTAATGAATAATGATATTGAGTATCTTTGTAAGGTGCTTATTAACCATTTGTATTTTTTTGAAAAAACATTCTAGCACCTTGACAATTTTTTAATTGGGCTGTTCTGTTGATACTGAGTCGTAGCTATTCTTTATACATTCTAGATATTAAAACATTATCAGATATTAGATTTACAGTATTTTCTTCCACTCCATAGGTTGCCTTTTTAGTTTCTTAATAATGTCTTTGATGCAGAAACATTTTTAATTTTGGTAAATTTTTATTACTTTTTCTTTTCTGTGCCTTTAATGTTACATTTAAGAATTACCAAACTCAAATTCAAGAAGATATTCCCCTATATTTTTTTCTAAGAGATTTATAGTTTTAGCTGTTACATTTAGGTCGTTGATCCATTTTGAGTTAATTTTTTGTTTACCGTATGAGATGAATGTTCAACATCATACTTTTGAGTATGGAAATCTCGTTTCCCCAGCAATGTCTGTTGAAGATACTTCTTTTTCCTTTGAATGGACTAAGCATTCTTGTCAAAAATCAATTGACCATAAATGTCAGGGTTTATGTCTGAACTCAATTGTATTCCATTAGTCTGTAACATATGCCAATATCACACTGTTTTGATTATTTTAGCTTTGTTGTATGCTTTGCAGTGATGAAGTGTGAGTTCTCCAATTTTATTCCTCTTTTTCAAAATTATTTTGGCCATTTGTGGACCCATCTGAATTTCAGGATCAGATTTTCTATTTCTTCAAAAATCAAAAAAGGTTTTTTGATAAGAAGTGCATTGAACCTATAGATCACTTTGAGTAGTACTGACATCTTTGCAGTATTAAGTGTTCCTGTCAGGAGCACAAGTTTTCTTTTAACTTGTATATATCTTCTTTAATTTTCACGATGTTTTATAGTTTTTAGTATACAGTGTTTCACCTCCTTGGTTAAACTTTTTCTAAATATTTTATTCTTTGTGACACTATTGTTTTCTTAATTTTCTTTTTGTATTGTTCATTGGTAGTATATACAAATACAATTCATTCAATGTAGTAAGGCATAAAAATAGAACAAAGAAAAAATTCACATGATCATCTCAAATAACACAGAAAAGGCATTTTACAAATTAAACAAGCTTTTATAAGTAAAAACACTCAAAAAAGTAGAAATAGGAATTTCTTGAATATGAAAGAGGGCATTTATGAATTTCCCACTTTCATCACGTTTATTCAACATTGTGCTGGAAGTTCTATCGAAGGCAACTAGGTAAGAAAAAGGAATAAAAGGTATTCAAATAGAAGAGGCAGAAGTAAAACTCTATTTTCAGATAACATGATCCTATGCATAGAAAGTCCTAAAACATCCACAAGAAATCTTACTAAAGCTAAAAAATGAATTCAGCAGTGTTAGGGTACAAGATCAACATACAAAACTCCATGATGTCTCTATACACTTGTAATGAATGCCATGAGAAGAAAATTAAGATTTTTATTTGTATGCAAGACTTGTTTTATACACTCAAATTTTGAATAGTTTCCAATTTTTCCAAGATTCATAATCTCAGAACTTCTCTAAATAATTTATTTTAGATTTTCCTCATCAGTCTTATCTTCTAAAATTTAATTCACCAATTCTTATAAAATGAAGTGTATTTTTTATCATACAAGAAAAATGATAAAGTTAAAAGACTCCTATTTTAAATACCGGCCTTTCGAAGCTTATTTACATAATGGGAAAATATTGTTATATTTTAAATAATCCTTACCATGCAGGACTGGTTTTATTGCTCTAACTTGGAGTTCTGTAATTCTGGCTGGTCAGAACCCCAAGGCATCCTAACAATGTCAGAAACGAGTCTCCTGATCCATTTTTGTTGAAATAAGATTGGAATTTCCTATGAAAACTGCTGGTCATTTTAAGTAAGGCCACTGCGGAGGAATCAAAATAATTTTGTAATCTTTTTTTTAGTTCTGATTATGGTTAGACACAATTCATAATAATGAACACGTTTTAAATAAAAACGTAGTTCTTACTTGAAAGTTCTAATATTCTTAAACCTCATTGCTTTATAAAATTTGTCCAGGTGATCATCTCTTATTCAGCATTCCCACAGCTTCTACTCCTGCCCTTTTCCCTCCATAGTTCCAAACTAATTTTATGCAAATACATGTGTTAGATTTATTTTTAGGAATTGTTCAACATGAAAGCAAATAATAAATTCAGTTAACAAAATGGTAGGTATGTGTTTGGGAATATGAAAGATGCAAAGATGGCGCAATACTTTTAGTCAAAACTTTTTTCAATGTTATATAAACAGTAGTATTCTTTACCAAAAATGTACAATTCTTCTACACTGAAAATTGCAAAGCATTGCTGAGAGTAAACAAAGAAGACCTAAATAAGTGGCGAGATGTAACATGCTCATGTTCTAAAAGACTCAATATTGTCAAAAAGTTAATTTGTCCTAAATTAATCTGTACATTCAGTGGAATTCAAGTCATAATCTCCTTTGACTTTAGTAGAAATTAACAAGCACATTCTAAAATTAATAAAGAAATGCAAAGGATCTAGAATAGCCAAAACAATTTGCAAAAATAATTCGCTTGGAGAAGTTACACTAACTGACTTTGTGAAAGAGACAGCCATTAAGATTGTGTGATACTGGTATCAAGACAGACATGTGGATGAAAGGAACAGAATTAAGTGCACAGAACCTGTATTTATATGGTCAATTGATTTGTAATGAAGCTACAATGGGAATTTAGTGAATAAAAATAGTATTTTCAACAAATGGTGCTGGAACAATTGGGTATAGATATAAACTTTAATCCATACCTTGAATTATGGGCAAAAATTAACTCAAAATCTACCACAGACCTAAATTTAAAACCCAAAACTACAAAACTCCCAGAGGAAAACATAGGACAAAATCTTTGTGACCTTGGGTTAGGCAAAGACTTCTTAGATATGGAAAACAATAAACAAACACCAAAACAGACAAAAAAATTAAAAATAAACTTCATCGGCTGGGCATGGTGTCTCATGCCTGTAATTCCAGCACTTTGGGAGGCCAAGGCGGGTGGATCACTTGAGGTCAGGAGTTCGAGACCAGCCTGGCCAACATGGTGAAACCCCGTCTCTACTAAAAATACAAAAATTAGCCGGGCATGGTGGCAGAAGCTAGTAGTTCCAGCTATTTGGGAGGCTGAGGCAGGAAAATCACTTTAACCTGGGAGCCAGAGGCTGCAGTGAGCCGAGATCGTGCCATTGCACTCCAGCCAGGGTGACAGAACAAGACTCTGTCTCAAAAAAAAAAATAAAAAATAAAAAATAAAAAAATAAAAACTTCATCAAAATTAAGAAATTTTGTCTTTGAAGTACAGGCCAAGATGCTGAAACTGTCCTTGATGATGGTGATATTATCATGTGGCATACATATAAAAAGAATACATTATCAAATTTTACACTTAAACATGTACATTTAAATTTGTTTTGATCAACGAATTTCTCTAACTGTGCACTTTAAATAGCTACACTTTAAATAGCCAATTATACATGTTTTTAAACCTATTTCCCATCTTCTCAAATCGCAAACCACATTTTGAAAAAAATGTTATTTTCTTAAGAATAATAAACAATTTTATATGTTAGGAAGCTTAAATACATTCAACATATATTTATTTAACACCTATGATATACCAGATGTGATTCTAGGTTCTGGGGATGCATCAGTGAACAAAATTAATAATGTTTCCCTCTTTTGGAGCTTAACTCTGATAGGTTAGATTGACAATAAAGAAAGAAAAACATATAATACAATGCCAGGTAGCAGTAACTGCTATGAAAGCAATAGCGCAAGGAGGTAAAGGTGATGAGAATGAGGCTGCTATATTTTAGGGAGAGAGATCAAAGAAAGACTCCATGAAGAGAGGATATTTTAGCAGAGATAACCAATGAAGTTCCCACTTCATTGGAGCAGAGAATACAAAATAAGACATAGAGGAGAGCCTGCCAGGCAGAACAATCCCCAAATACAAAATCCTGAGGCAAGAAAGTTTTTTGTATTAGAGGAAGAGCGAGGGGTCAACGTGGATGAAGCAAGTAATCAGAGGAGAAAATTGTGAGGAAATCAGGGCAGACTAATAGTCATAGCCTGATTACACAGGCTTTGCTGACTCTGTGATTTTTTTTTCTATATATGATCTGACACCAGTGGAATACTATAAGCAGGAAAGTTACAGGAGTTATAGTTGTATGTATCGAAAAATGTTCTGGCAGAAGTGTTGAGAACAGACTATACAAAGACAGTAGAAGCCAATCAATGGTGGTGGCCAGGACTCCTGTGGCTGTACAAGGGGTGGGGGTGTGGGAATAGTGGTATGGTTTGGGGCATATTTGCAAGGCAGAGCCAATACAATGCACGGCAGATTGAATGTGAAATATGAGAAGGTAAAAAATCACTTCAAGGCTTGGAACCGAGTCACTATTGAGTTGAGCTGCCATTTTCTGAAATGAGAACATAGGGGAAAAACAGTTTTGGAGATGGAAATCAAGAATTTGGCTTTGCACCTATCAATTTGAGATAACTATTAAACATCCAGTTGGAGATGTTGAATAAACGGTGGGAAATAAAACCCTAGGGTTCTGGGGAAAGATCAGAGCTATAAATATAATTTGGGAGTCATTTGCCCATGAAGGGTATTTAAAGCCACAGGACCAGATGAGTTCAAGTCATTAATGAAAGTTGATAGAGAAGGCCAAAGACTAGATTCTGAAATGTATCCAAATTGCTCACATTCAAGAGGAATACACTTTCTCAATGTGTCTGTTATACATAATTTTCATTCTGTTTTACTTCATTATGGCATAGCCATAAAAGTAAAGTGACAATTAGAAGGGCTATTGGATAGGTCATGGAACTCAGCCATGTAACTCTGGGTCTGTTGGTAACCAGATCCATAGACTTGAGCTATATGATTTCCCCCCTTGGGTTTCAGTTGCATTGTCTATAAATTACAATAATGAATATTGTTGGCTGTTTGAGCATGGGGAATGAAAGAAAAGAGGAAAACTAGCACTAAGGGGTTTTGAGATTTGTTAGTTGCCTGGTGGGAAAGTTACTCATTTCGGAAAGATTTAGCTACATTGAGCATGGCCTGTGTGATCTGTCATGATCTGAGACTCTTTTGCAACTGTTCCTGAATAGCACTGGCTTCTTCATTCTCACCTTGCTTTCACTTAATTGTACTGTTCTATACGTTAGTCAGTGATGGTTTGGTTTCAAAAACTAGAAACTCTCTGAAAATACCTTGAAAAGAAAACAGTATATATTGGGAGTTCCAGAGTATCTTGCAAAACTCAGGGTACATAGTGCTTCCAGGCTTTCTGAGGGACAGAACCAAGAATGGAAGGCTTTTAGTCTCATCCTGGTTTCCTCTTCTCTAATTACACATAGTCTGCCCTGACTCTGCCAACATGTGCCTTGAATCTCTGAAATATGTAAACTCCATGTCCAGTTTCCACAGATAATTGACCCTGTCTCTATATGTCCCAATTTCAAATTCCTGGGTGAGATATCTGGATTCAATCAATCTACCCTCTATAGTGATGTTCTCTAAATCAGTTGCCCACTCCCGGTCTAGAAACCTATAACCAAAAATGGGTTGGTTCACCTAGTACCTGCTTGAAGGATTCTAATACTAAGGTTAGAAGCTTAAGGTTGGAAGAACAATGCAATCCCTAAAAAGATCCAATATAGAAAATAAAAATAAATTACTGGTTCTAAATTATCATACTTATTTTTAATTATTCAGACCCATTCTCCTCCGCCTACCACTTCCCACACATACACAAACTTTCAAATGCTGTTACAATGAAGCAGAAAATATGAATATGTTGTTCTGCAGCAGGAAAAAGTAGTATAAATCTACAATTCTGCAGCAGGAAAAAGTAGTATAAATCTACAATTCCAATTGCCTAGAATACTAAAGCATCAATATCCTTTCAAATATTTCGGTTTGGGTACATACTTTTTTGATTTTTTAAGTCCTTCACCAAAACTATATGTTACTATGACATTAAGACTTAGTACAGCTTTTTGATTACATAGCCTTCTAAGTTTTAAGGCTGTGTCTGTAAGATGCCTACTCAACTGAATAAAATATCAGCATCAATCAAACTATTTGGTTTACTGTACAGAATTTTGACTATATTTAATCTTTGAAAAATTAATCAGAATTATTATCATAGGTATCCAATTTCATGAACTCTTCTAGTATTCATTGATGCTTCTTTGGAAATTTTATTTTCTAAGCCAACATATTTATTTCTTCTTGGGGCTCTCTTGAAGTCATAAAAGTATACCGTTTCACTGAAGGTCTGAGAAACAGGGCTAAAATTGACTCCAAGAAACAAACAGTTTTAGTATACTTTATATGCCCACTGAGTCTTTCAAACCACATTAGTTAATCATAAGTCACTCAGAAGAACAAGGTTTTAATGAAAAAATATTCTGGGCTTTTTAATTTGTCTCTTGAATATTCTGAATGAAAAAATAAACCTTGTGGCAGCAGGACATTTTGATTAGAAACTAGCATTTCTACAAAACTTTCCACCTGGGTAATGGGTAATGGATGGACATCTTGCCTAAATTGCATTTTTTTTTTTTTTTTTTCTTGAGATGGAGTCTCGCTCCGTCACCTAGGCTGGAGTGCAGTGGCGCGATCGCGGCTCACTGCAGCCTCTGCCTTCTGGGTTCAAGTGATTGTCCTGCCTCAGCCTCCTGAGTAGCTGGGATTACAGGCACCCATCACTGCACCTGGCTAATTTTTGTCTTCAGTAAAGATGGGGTTCACCATATTGGCCAGGCTGGTCTCGAACTCCTGACCTCAGGTGATTCAACTGCTTCGGCCTCCCAAAGTGCTGGCATTACAGGCGTGAGCCACCGCAACTGGCCCACATTTTGAAATTTATTCAAAACCTTTTAGTTACTTATGTCACATGCTTTATAAATAATTCTTTATTAAAAAATAATTCTTTATTAAAACTAAAAGCCTTTAATCTAAGTAAAAAGAGGATAAGAAACAATGCTTTTCTTATAGATATGTCCTTCTGCAGGGAAGGAGTTATCCCTTATTACCGAGGAAAGCTGTAAAAGATGGAGATGAATAATCTGATTGTTGGAAGTAGGGTCTAACAGCTGGCATAACGTAAACAAACTGCAGGTATTGAAAGAGTACAGGTTTCCAGTTCATTTCCTTTTTTGCAAAATGTCTGGCTCCGATATTCTTTAATCAGATGGACTCATGCCTGCCAGAGAAGTTTCTTGGCTGTATTTTTGCAGAAGATCTGTAGGAAATGAATTGAGAAACTTGACAGGAACAGCTTGAGGTATTTGATGAATAATAGAGAACTTCCACCGTTCAAGTGTCTGACTAGAACAGAATGAGAAGTATTAGGAACTTGGAAAAAAGGAAAGATTGATTTAAAAATAATACACTGCTCTAACCCACTGGCAAATACAGTTCTTTCTAAAGCACTGTAGACAGTTCACATAGTGAAAGAGATAGATTAAATTAGATTTTCATAGACTTATTTGGACTGTCTTCCCTGTTGTTGGTAACTTGCTGCTTCCTTCAACCCATCAAAAATAAAAATACAAAAGGGGAAAATAAAACCTCGTATAGAAAGTACCAGTGTTTTAAGGGTATGTTTCTTACATATGTGAGGTGCAATTCATTTTGCATTCTCACCCTATGAAAAGTGATTCAGTTAACTCCTTCCATACTTAAAGTTTCATATCCTGTTTACTGAGAAATTAAAAATCTTATTTAACAAACCTGTTATAGCATAGCAAAAATTTTTAAATGCATAGGATATTTCCTTCTCATTTCTATGTAGAAGATACCTAGCACATACTTAAATGATTTGACTTATATTACTTTCATACAATGTTCTATATGTGGACTTCATAAGCACTGAAAGAATTTTTAAATTCCAGCCTGCTGTCAAAACGAATGAAGAAGTTGGCCCTACAAAACAAAAGGAAAATAAGTTTGGGCTAACTTCACCAAACTTTAATTCCCTCATTAATAAAATGAAGCTGTTTGCTAACTTCACCAAACTGTAATTCCCTCATTAATAAAATGAAGCGGTTTGACTAGATGAACTGTAAAACATCTTTCGGCTCTAATAGTCTGTGTATCTAAATTACTTTTTTTGAATAAAATTTTCTTTTAAGCATCCATTGATTTTTTTCACTTAAGTCATATGTTTTTCTAGTTTTCACTAGGAGTCAGAGAGTATTTATTATCATTCAGATGTATCCCCCTGGGGTAGGTATGTGTTGGCAAGGAAAACAAAGATTTAATACAATTCAGAACATGTGGTACAGTGTTGTTTACTATTTTATTTGGGGGGTAGAGGAGGAATTTTTTAATTATAATTTTCAAAACTATGCTTAAATTCAGTGGACACTTTTTAGTTCTAATTTGATGTCAACTCTGAGCAACTTTCAACATGACTGCCTCCTTTCTTGTTAGGAAAAAAAATATTTTTTTCTGAAACCAACCTCATGGCTTTCCTTCTAGCTATTCACTACTTTTCCTAATCTCCATTACATGTCCATACCCCATTTTTTGCTGTTCTATCCCACACCCTCTTCTCTGCTTCCTCTCTGAACATCTCACTAATACCCGATTACTGTCTACTAACGAATGCTCGAATCAATATCCCCACCCAACCCAATTTCAATTTTGAGAGACAAACCAGCGTATCCAACTGCCTAGTGCCTATCTCTTTTGGTCTCAGAACCACAAAACACAATTTATGCCCTATCAATCCAGACCCCAGCCTGCTCTTTCTCTCTTAACTCTTTGTCAGTTAATTTTGCCATCAACCTTTTAATCCGTAAATCAGTCATCAAAGACACCAGCTTCTCCTTCAACTTCACATTTAAGCAATGATTACATACGATAAAATTTATCTTCAGAAATATGTCTCAAACCTTTCAGGTTTTGTTGTTGTTGTTTTCCATGTCCACTGTCTACAACCATCATCTCTGAATTGCATCTTGTTCACAGCCCTTCTCCTGTGAAACCCCATTCTTCATTCCTCACTCTCAATATCAAAATGCAGATCTGATCATATCACTCTTAAACTCCTTTAGTTGTCTGCCATTAATCTTAGGATAAATCTGTATTTTTGACAAAACTCACAACGCCTTCGTTATCTGACCTTCACTAACCCTCCTGCTTCCCTCTCCCTTGTCCCACTTCAAACTTGATATTATTGCTAGGCTGAATTTCTTTCAGTTCCCTAAATACATCATTCTTTCAATTTTCTGGAGGCTTTTCTGTAGGTTCTTCCTTCTACCTAGAACATGTATTTTCCTCTTTTTCAATTCTCAGCTGAGCTAGTAAATATCCTAAAATATGTTGAGTAGTTTCTATAAACAAAGTCTTATTCTAAACACTATACATGTTATTAACTTGTTTGATTCTCATTACTTTCCTATTAATTATCATCATCACTATTTTCCAATGAGGAGTCTGAAAAACAGTGACGAAACTGCCTAAGATCAGAAAAGCAGAAATTGGGAAAGTCAACATTTGACTCTTGACTCCAGAGCCAATGATCTAGAGACGTATGCTTAAAAGTCATTTTCTGTATTAAGACTTGAGCTTTCTCTGCCCCACCACTCTTAACCCAGACTAAGTTGTATATTCCTGACACAAATCCTGACATTGTGTCCACTGTTTCCATGACCAAAGCATTTGTATTTGGAGTCACTGCCTTTGAACTATCTTTCCTGCCAAACTATATAGATCTCACAGGCAGGAATTACATTTGTTAAATGAATGAATGAACAAAAGAAAACTATTAATGCTCTGCATTCCATTTAGCATTTGTTAAAGATTTCTAGGACTTCAGGCAAATATTTTATCTGTATTCCTACTACTTCCTTTTCACAATTTGTGTAATTAGAATTATGCATGCATTTCCTCTTAAGAACAGCCAATTCATAATCATGTGTATACTTCGCAAGTCAACATATTCATCTCAATGGTCCCGAGGAGTTGGAAATGGTCTCCAGTCCTCTTTTTTCTGCTACTCCTCAGTAGCACCTGGCTGTGCTTATGCAACACTGGGCAATGTCTATCAGAGGCAGAGAATCCTCTTTGCAACAAGCAGCTAGTACAGCTGACATTGGAAGCCTGGGTTTTCCTTTATCTTCTGTGTTGCTTTCTCAGCATTTGCCACAGGATGCATTTCCTCATAAACCAGTATTTTTAAAAATACACTTGTATTCCTCAGCTGGCCCACAAATGCATATTTGTCAGAAGACTGACACCATTCAAAGGAAATAGCCAAATGTTATTTCTTTAAATAAAGAGTTCTATATATCAGTTAACTTTTGTGCTCTTTTAGAAACACAGCCACCACCTTAGATACATGTTCCTATGGCAAAATTAATTCCATGATCAAAACAAAAGTTTAGAAATGAGCTCACAAAAGATGTTATTGTAAGCCAGAGATTTTGTATTGCCCTTCAAATAATACCCATAAATACAAGAAAAAAAATGGGAGGGAATAAACTGAGATTTATGAGTGGGTATTTTCAGGAAGGAATGCGATTACCAGAAAGGCAGTATTTTAGTATGTATTACAGAAATCTCATCGACTCTGGGGCTGAAGCAAACAAGCACTGTATGAGTTTGGACATATTATTTAGCCTCTTGTTATTTTTTTCTGTAAAATATTAATTACCTCAAATAATTATTACAAAGGTTAAATATGTTAAGTGTACATAATACAGAGGAAAAGTTAGATACTAATTGTATTAACATTAATATTATCTGTCAAATTATAACTATGCAAGTATTTTTTTCAAAGTAAAATTTATGGACTAGGTAAAATGACTATCATGGAAATATTTATCTAGCCCTGAGTATATGGCAGTAATTAGTCAAAACTATTTCTAAACATTCTCTCATTTACTCCTCACAATAGCTCTCTCTCTCTGAGTTAAGGACTATTATTGTTCCCATTTTAGGTGAAGAAATTGAAATAAAGAGCAGTACCTAAGTTGTTAAAATCCTGACTTAAACCCCAAAAGTCTGAAGATAAAATATCTTCACCTCATTACTGGTAAATGACCAGGATACATGTGGCTAATATGAAGTCCAAGACAAGGAACAGGGAGCTTGACAGAAACTGAAGTTAGCTGCAACCCCAGAGTGATTTCAAATTTCCCACCAATATTTAATCTTTAAGAGGGTGGACATAAAATGGGAGTTAAAGCGTTTGTCTCTGTTGTTTCCCAAGGCAATAGCATCACGTACTTGGATAAAGTACCTGTATTTTTACCAGCAGAGGAGAAATAAATTAATGATATGAAAAGCTTGATTTCCTTAAACTCCTCAAAAAAGAAGCAGATGTATCTTACGGAAATCAAAATTTTGAAAGCAATGTAAAACTCTTACGGATCTTGTCTTGGGTTTTGTCATAGTGGAAACTGTTCAGCAGATAGTCAAAATTCAGAAAATAATTGTTTTCATTAAAAAGCATTACTTGAAGGGAAGTTGGATTCTTTGTAGTAAGCACTTTTTGAGAAAGTGTGAAAAAAAAAAATCACGAGTGCCACAGAAGATACTACCAGGTCTCTTGGCATTTTTTTCCACTAAAAGATTAAAAAAGATGAGCACATTTAGTAAAATGGACAAAAATGACCTCCAGGTGGAAATAACTATATTTTTTCACTTTCAAGTCGAACTGTCATTTCAAAAATATTGCTGCCACTTAAACTGAAAAGTAAAGAATTAAAATATTCCTATAAAAACAGGTGAACCAGGTGCATAGGAAATATAGTTGGCTACAACAAACCTCCCTATCAGACAGCTGTGCAAATAAAGCATTCTTTCTAAATGTCAGTTCCTGTGTAATATTTTAGTTTCTTTCAGATGACATAATGTATATAAAATGACTTGGGAAAATACAAAGGAACATATAAATACAACTTATCAGTGTAATTATTTGGATTCAGCTGATTTGCTATAATATAATTTAATGAAAGTAAAAAGAATATGCCTAGAAATTTATATGAAAGCTTGAGTGACCAGGAAAAGAAATGCTCCCAAAAGGATTTAAATATCATAGAGTGTACTACCATGTTCATTATATCTGTTTAGTATTAATGACCGATTAACAATGAGAAAATGTACTAAAGCAAAATCCCCTTTAAAATAGGTAAGCCCTGCCAAAAGTGTCATTGACATTGAAAAACTCATATTGAAGTTTAACAAGATGTGTTTACTAGCATTGCAATTAAAAAATACAGTGAGATTAATAAACCATAAACAGAACTCAACACTGAATTATAGTAATAGCACAATATATTAAAGATACCTATGTATATGTGAGAATATATTCTAAGTATTCTACTTCCCAACCCTGTTAAAACACTACCTAATACAGACATCAAGTTTACTTCTTTCCCCCAATTCCATTATATTTCTGCATATGACAATACCACTTATCTCAATACCAACTCAATTTCCCCAGACCAACATCAAGCTTATCCTACTCCTTTTTCACTTTTTTCCCCTTTACTGATGATTTGTTTTTCTTTGAATTTCTATTTAGTCATCCCATCCTACCTATACCTTCTATCTTGTACTCTCATTTCCTGTCATCAGAGCTGGCTGGAGATGACCTTCTTAAGATTCTTCTTCCTGATGTTGAAGTTAAAGTTCTTAAATCCTACATTCTAAAACTTCATTTGCTTCCTGAAAACTCTGTTGAGGATGTTTTCCATTTCCTCTTATCATCTTACACCAGTCTACACACTGCCCTCATTCCACCTACCTAGTCAGTACTAGTCACCCCTGTATACAAAACCGCCTCTTCTTCTCTCTAGAAGCCGACATTCTCACTGCTCAGCAGACGACAGGAGTTTTCCTAAGCTGACCCCTTACCCCAGGGCCACCTTTCTAAACTCAGTCCTGATGATTTCTGCTTTCTGTGAAGTCATTCCTGGCTCTTTCTAGCTTCAGTCATCTTTGCTGCTCCCAGGTTTTCAAAGACATTTCCCTTCTCTTGCTTGCTATAGTTTCACAGGAAGCCCTGTAGACTGGCTACCCAGAATGGAAGCTTAGTGGAAGAAGACAGCATAATTCCTATATCCTGGAATATATGCATTGCTCAATCATTTGTGTTAAGTAGCAGGAGAGTAGGAAATAAAAAGAGATAAAAGAAAGGAAGAGGCCATATACACTACCATTTTTCTTACTACATATATTAATGTAGCAGTAAAGTGAATCCTGTAATTTTAAATCAATATCTTACTTTAAATCTAAATAGCAAATGCCTTTTGAAAAAAAAAACTTCTCATCTTACAGCATAATATGTATATACTTCTAAAAAAATTACTCCTTATAGTAAACAATCTACAAGCCTCTGTCCACAATTATATTTATCTGGAAGAAAAAAATAAATAAAATTTTCATTAATAGTTCATATATTCCAATATATTTTCTAAGACATGACATTTAAAAAGCAAGGAAATTTTCTGAATGTTTTACTGGTAAGAAACTTTTGAATCCATTCTTGTCCAAGGTGAAATAAAACTTTTAAAAATTTTTCTTTCTTAAATCAATCAACACGTCAGACAGACTGTATAATTTAGGCATATAATTCTACTTGGGACACTAAAAAGTCTCCGGGAAAGGGAATTTGAAGTTCTCTTAATCTCTATGATTTTTGATCAAATATACATTGCCCTATTCCTGGGAAGACCCCTTCTCCAGCTGAAATCACAGCACGATCCGTGTGCCTGAGATTTCTTGCTATCTGAGGTTTCAGTTGAAGTCAAAAGGCATTAAGAATGAAGGATTTAGACAGTACGACATTTCATAATTTATGGTGCATATAAATTTACATTTAATTTTTAAGGACACCAAAGGTAGTCCTAAAATTTTACATGTACTAGAGTTTGAAGTCAATGCAAAGATACCTATAATGCGCATGCAATAAAAATAAAGACAAGGGTGGTATATAATTTTGAAAGCATAAAAAAATGCAAATGTTATTAATTCAATTCCCATTATGGTCACTTTCATAAGTCCAGGTGGCATTTTCCAAGTGTATTAAAGTGCCAAAGTAGCTCCAAGTTATGAAGAATATATATCACTGCATATGCTGCATAACATGAATTACATACTTGTCAGGGTATCAACTACAGCCTTAATATAGTATGTATATCAAATGAATACTGAACAGAGTACAAAAGTGCTGTCTACTGAGAATTTTATATATGACTTATTTAATTCATTATATTCTCTTAACTCCATTCTGATTCTCCTCACTATACTATGTTTATGGGTATTCTTTCATTGTTCTTTATATGTCCTTGTAAAAGGTATATGATCTTAATTACATGTATTCTGATTATATATAAATGGAATTATGCTATAGATTGCATTCTGTTTCATACCCTTTTTACTCAATGCTGTGTTTTTCATACTTATTCATGATGCTACAAATACATAAAATCTATTGATTCTAAAACAGCATAGTTTTCTTTGGAATACATTTTTCATTTCTCATCTCTCCATTCTTTCATGAGGGACTTAGAGTGCTTCCAGCATCTTGCCATGACAGACAATGCTCCAGTGAATATTTTCATGCATATTTTTGTAGAAGACAGAATTCTAAGATGACCTTCCATGCCGTTGTGTAAATCTCTTCCACTTGAATATGGGCAAGGCTTGTGAACATGATGAGATTTCATTCCTGTGGTTAGATCACGTTACCAGGCAGAAGGGAAGATATTTTGCATAGGTAGTTCAGGTCCCAAGTAAGTTCATTTTGAATTACTCAAAAGGGAGATTATTCTGGGAGGGCCTTACTTAATAGGGAGAATGCCCTCCAAAGAGGAACGTGGTCTTTCTTGAAGAACAATTCTGCTGGCCTTGAAAAACCCAAGTTGCCATGAGTTCGGCAGCTGTGAGCAAACAAATTCTGCCAACAACGACATAAGCTTGGCAAATAACCCTGAGTCTCAGATAAGACCACAGCCCCAGACAACATATAAATTGCTGCCTTGTGAGAAACTAAGAAGAGGACTTAAGACAAGCACAGACTTCTGACCCACACAAACTGTGAGATAATAAACCTGTGTTGTTTCAAGCCATCAAAGTAATAGTAATTTGTTCCATGACAATAGAAAATTAGAATATCCTGTTGGAAATGTTTGAGAATCTCCTTAAAATATATATCCCAAGGGACAGAATTTTGGGGTCATTAGGTACATGTATACTTAGTTTTACCATAAGGGTGTACAATTCCTAGATTCTAACATCAATGCCTACACTTTAATTTTTTACCAGCATTAACGTATCTCATTAATATATTGTATTTCACTTGTGAGTTTAGGCAAGTTTCATTTGCTTGTTTTTTGTCCTTATTACTTTGAGTTTCTTCTTCTAGGGGCTGGCTAATTGTTCATATCCTATGCCCTTTAACAAGGCTTATTGACTTTCATTGCCGTTCTGCAGGAGTTTTGGGGGATATTCTAATCCTCATTAATCATAGACATTTCAAGTATCTTTTCCCTGTCATCTACCCATTAATATTTTCTAGTTAACTTGGAGGTAAATCCTTGCTTTTCATGTCACAGAATTCTTTAATATTTTTCTTAAAAAGTATTATTTTGAGAGTGGAGGTTATCATTTGAGTAAAAGTCTTTGTAGATTTAATAAGTCTGGGGTCTTATCCATCTAAAAATCATGTGGGGGAGAGAGAAAGGAGACAGGAGACAGATTAGGAATGACACAGGAGGAATGCAAAGAGAAGGACAGATAACGTTCTGCTTCTGACCTTCAGAGTAGGATTTTGCATCCAGACAGAAAGCTTTCAAGACATAACTTTTGAAAGACGATTTTTTTAAAAGTATATCCTTGTGGCTATCATTTAACATATAAGTGGCTAATCCTGATGACATAGACTCAGAACTTTCCCCAAGTGTAGCAAAAATATTTCTGGACATTATTCATGAAGTTGGAAGGAGGCGATGACCTAGAAGAAAATCTTACAACCTTCCAACCTGAGAGATGTTGGAAAAGAAGGAGAGATAGAGATCAGGTAGGTCAGGCATGTCTTCTTCACGTTTTCCAGTTCTGAGCTAACTGAGATAACAGTGAGGGAGAGGAATTTCTCTGGCTCCATTTGCAATTTGGGATCCTGGGACCAGGCTGCTTTGCATGTACACGCATGCCAACCTGAGTTACTGCTGAGACAGCAGGCACAGCTTGCATCATCTTTTTACTTTTCCAAAGTGCCTTCGGTTCCTTGATGACATCATTGGAAGCTACAGTAGCTGAAAGCCCTGATTGGGAAGTCAACAGAGCCTCTGTAGCACTTACACAGAGGACACAGAACACACCACCAGGACTAAAACTAGATGGAAGAGAGCCAGAAATGACAACGGTTGGAGTCAACTGGGAGTGCCAGGAGCCTCAATAAAGAGAGAAAAAGAGAAGAGTCCAAGTTCCACCAAACATTTCCAGATGAAAGGACACATGAGACACTGAGGGAGCTACAAGTTACCACACCTAAGGATTTCAGTCCTTCCCCTGTTACCTCAGGATCCATACATTACACACACCTCCAACCAAATAGGCAAAGCATAGAGAAAGAAACAGGCAAAGCTCACATCTGGAAGACTGAGTATTCCTGTCCAGTCATCCAGACCAAAAGAAGTGCAGCACCACCAAACCAGACTGTTTCAATTAAATGCTATCTGTCCATCCCCCCTCACCCTATCTCCAAACCAGATGCTGGGAATTCAGAAAGACGACTACGTAGATTACACAAAATAAAGAAGCTGCTCCCCCACCACACCCCACACACCTGCATGGTGGTGTGCCTTAAACATTCCACCCTGTTTTATGTAAATGTGAAGGGACTCAGAGATTGTGACCACTTAGTGTTAAAACATTTTTGTTTTTACTTGGTTATTTTAAGTTAGCTATTCATATCAATGTCTTCTTTCTTGAAGTCAGTTAAATAATACTTGAAACTTCCAGATGTTTCACCCTATGTTGACACGTTTACCCAATTATATGCAAAACATCTGGCTGGCTGGCTATATTTCGCACTTGTTCACTGTATGTTTGATGTGATATAGATTCAGACAAACATTTAGAAACATCACCATATAATCCAATGCAGCTGAAGATCATTGAATGCCACCCCGGACCTCCTGGACCTCCATTTGTCTTGTGACATCCTTTAGTGGAACATGAGCATACACCATAGGAAAATTGAGCTCAAGTCCACTATGAGGAGGATCACAGGGTTCTGCTGGTACCTTGAGAAAGTTAGCATAGTGTTCCGCCTCACATTCAAAGACGTCCACTAAAATTTCATAAGCACAGCATTACATGGACAGACAGAGTGGCATAATAAACACTGGAGACTCCAAAAGATAGGAGGTTAGAAGGGAGTTGGGGGATGAAATACTGCCTGTTGGATACAATGCACACTATTCGGGTGATGAATACACGAAAAGCTTAGACTTCGCCACCACGCAATACATCCATGTTACATCCATGTAACACAATTGCACTTGTATCCCTAAATCCACAAAAATAAACCATTTTTAAAAATGAAATAAAATGCACCCTCCCGAGACGTTTACTATGCAGAGCCACCTTCTCATACAGCAAAGAATCTAAGTTAGGAATGGAAACAGATGTAATGTATGTCTACGCAAAGCACTGCAGCCATGCTCTCAAGAGACTAGGAATGCCCATATGTCAAGATCTATGTTCAGAAGACTCAAAGAGAATTGTCACATTGCCACAATACATTTTCTGAAGCAGAAATCATTTTACTTAAGATATCTGATGTGAGAGACCAAAGGTATTTCTAGAAGATGAGTTTGTTCAGATAAAACAAGTTACTGCCATAAAGGTGACAAGTCAAATATCATAAAGTATTATTTCCAATTAAGACATGTTTAAGTTTTATCAGAAGGTATTCAGACAGACTCACTACAGAAATCATTAAAGATTCATTTACTGTTTTCTGAATTGCTGAATGTAGTCATGGAGTTAAATCTCAAATTTATTATTATGAAATATTTGTTTAACCAGAGTGTGGTTTCTGCAGAACAAAATCATATGACAGCCCCCTTAGGTCTTATCTTCTATTAGTCAAAACAGAATACAATTCTCAGTGGAGACATTTTAATCCCACAGTATTTTTATCCATTGCTGTCTCTAGAACTAAATATCTTTGAGAAATTAATGCAAATATAAATGGCATTCAAATGCAAAAAAGTGTATATAAAATATTTTAGGGCTTTAAATTCTAAATGGATAACTCACAGCTGTCTATCAATCATTAGAGTCAAATCTCTATTATTTTCCTTATTTCATACCTTCATGATTCTTTTAAATACAGAAAATATTGAGGAAAAGAAAACTGCCAAAAGTAGATAGAGAAAAGATTGCTAAGCAGTATAAAAGTAGTGGAAAATCTTCCTGTCAAATTAATTTTCAAAACTTTTAAGTTATTTTTATGGCCTCCCTCTATTGCAAGTTACCATTTTTGGGTCAATCCAAGGTATAAAGAAAACGAGTCATGCTGGTACTTGGAGCATTAAGGTTAATGTCAAAAACAAGTCAAGAAAATTCAAACTGAGACTTTCATGACCTCATAACTACCAGAGGAGCCACTGTTTCTAACTGAATATGCAACTGACCCTCTAAATTTGATTAATGATGTGTGCTTGCATAAACGTCCCTGGCTATGTCATAATTCCTATTTTATGTCTTAAATCTAATTAATCATTTTCCACATTGTTTTTTTTCGTGTTTTGTGCCTAAGTTAAGAATGATCTATCATAGCCAAAAATAAATTGAAATAGGATGTGCTGGAAATATTTGATGCATATCCTTGGATCCTACAAAATTCACTTTACAATATGCTTTTACATTTCCAGATTTTTTTCCTATAGGAGAGTTCAGGGGCTTGGTTCACATGATTACCCAGTCAAAACTCATACCTCAGTCTTCATTCTGAACTATCAGTGGTCCTGAAGTTAAAGATGTTTCTGAATATTACCTCAAAAGAGACACACCAGAATTTTTCCTTGCTTTCATATGTCTTTTATTTCCAGAATAATAATGAGAATAAACCACATTCAGAAAGCCAAGTCTATATTTAAATGTTCAGAACACTGATACTTAAAGCATGGGATTTTTTTTAAAAAAGCTTTATATTATAAAGGAGTTGTATTTATGGAGAATTATTAGAAGCCACTCTTTCAAGATGATTTCATTTTGGCCACACTTGGCATCCTATGAAATGGGAAAAAATTTAAATAATTTTTTAACTTAAAAGACGTTAGGCTATGAAATAATAAGAAATTTGAATTCTGCAAGTATCAACCGCAGATAATTTTTAAAATGTGGTTAATCTGTTTTAGGGTAAATTGGAAAAGAGTTCTCTCAGAAAAGCAGAACATATTTAACTTGGAGAAAGAAAAACTGCCTATTTATTTTTAAATAATAGTTTTCTGTTTCAGAGCAGTGGTACTTGGCTGTTTCAAAGTAGATCTGTTTGATTACAAATCCAAGGAAAATGTTCTGAGAACAGTAACTTGTTTGCTCTAGGTTTAGAGCTTGATGTAAGCCCCATTCGGCTGGTGAAAGCTTACTTTCACAAAGATTTTGTGTTAGCAAATAACACTCGGAAATGATCCCAGTGAGAAAATTATACAAAGTCGTATTCATGGCTAGGCTTGGCTTGAATCAGTAAAATGATAAAATCAAATTCCTGTTACCCTGTATTAGGTGTGCAGATTTTAATTACTCCAAATTAGGAGAAATTATCATTCTTGCACTTGAAGAGACCTATTTTAATAAAACATGACTCTTTTCATGCTAATTTAAATTTTTTTATACTTGAACCACATGTATCATATTGAGATTATTTATTCCAAAAGAAAATTATTTAAATCATATTTCTTGTTCCATAATACTTTATTACAACATTACTCCCATTTTCAGATTGTAAACTCCATTAACTAAGAATCCTCCTCTTACACATCTTAATATTTGAAGAAGTTATCAGGATTATTGGACAGTTTTCAGTGATTATTCAATTATTAAGTTACTCTATTAGCAGTCTTTGTATGAAGACATCATAGAATCATAGAGACAAAGACTTTAATAGTCTTGACTCTTTGAGTTGCAAGAAACAAAAAGCATTAGCTCAAGCAAATAAAGAACATATTGATTCCATGTGATAGAAAAGCCCACAAAGATGTCTGACTTCAGGTGTGTCTGGATCCAGGAGCTCCAATAATGTTATCTGAGCTCTCTCTGTATTTCTAAGATACGATTTTCTTTCCCTGTTGATTGCCTTCCCATTTTCAGTGGTTTCTTCCATGTGGCCAAGTAAGGTGGTCATAAATAGCATCAGTAAATTACCCTTACAATTTATGTGCACAAAGTAATGATGATTGTGTTTTTGAGACCTGAGCAGAAAAGTACTCTGATTGGCCTTGTTTGAAACATGCACTCATCCCTAAATCCATTAATGTACAGGTATATGGGCTTACCAATCATATATGTTCTTTACTAAAGCACTCCTAGAATTTATTCATTCTATTTTTTTCAATGAAAAAACTGAGGCCAGGAAATGAATGACTTAAAGAATGTCACAAAGTAAGTTAGTAGCATATTTAGACAATGCTAAAATAATTTTAATGATGGTCTAGATAAAAAAATAGAATCTCAAAAGGATATAGGAGGAGATCATTAGTATTTAACTATATTGACATACACGTTTAAAACGTTAACTTACTTAAACATAAAGCTCAAAGAAACTGTGAGTTTTCAAAGATCAACATGGCATTTGTCTGCCTGAATTTCTTAAGGAATTCTTCTTGAGTTTGGCATTAATTTGGGCATCCATAAAGATGGAAGAACTAAAAACTAGAACACAAATTCTACAAACTCAGTGGAGTAACTTTCCAACCAGATATGTAATGGATTTCCTGGAGATTACTGAAATAAAAATATTTTTCTTTGTATTTCTAATATTTTTTAAAACTTCTTACTAATCTTTTTAAAATAGACTACTGCTATTACAAGGTTTTTAAGAAAGGAGTTACTGTATCTTAATGTACTCATTATCACCTTGGTGAAAATGCTGCTTAGTGCAGTTAAGAAGTCTACACATTTTAGAACCTGCTCATTCCTCTTGGTACCCCTTGACTCCCTTACCTCCTCATTTACTCCAACCCAAATTTCCCATGGCTTGGAGGATGCAAAGTGGCTTCCAAAAATACCCACAATTTTGGCCTGGCATGGTGGCTCACACCTGTAGTCCCCGCACTTTGGGAGACCAAGGTGGGCAGATCACTTGAGGTCAGGAGTTCGAGACCAGCCTGGCCAACATGGTAAAACCCTGTCTCTAATAAAAATACAAAAATTAGCTGGGCATGGTAGCAGGTGCCTATAATCCCAGCTACTTGGAAGGCTGAGGCAGAAGAATCACTTGAACCCAGGAGGCGGAGGTTGCAGTGAGCCGAGACTGCCAAAGCACTTCAGCCTGGGTGACAGAGTGAGACTGCGTCTCAAAACAAACAAAACAAAACAAAAAAATACCCACAATTTAGCACAGTGAGATACATCTAACAATGAAGTAGAGACTACTGGAAATTAAAATAAAAGCTGGGTTTGAGTTAATATATAAAATGTATTCCTTTGAAACCTAGCATCTTTGAGAGAGGTCAGATAGATATTTCAATTTGAGCTTTTCAGAAGCCAACAGAAAGAGGGAGGCTAGATTACTTACTTATATGATTCACAGCATCTATATAAGTAAAAGGAAACCAGCTGTCCCTTGTGACTAATGTAATAGGGTGAACACAACCTCCTAAGAAGTTAAACAATATGCAAGATGATAGCGTAACACCCAAGCAGATTTCAGATAAACAAATTGATATAGATAGAGTCAAAGTGTTGTCATCCAAATACCTAGTTCTCTGACAATCTGTTTAACTGTGGAATAGATTTTAGAAAATCTGCATAAATAGATAATATATATATTCTTCACTCACTTGTTCATTAATGCATTCATTCTTTGAAAAATTGATGTTTTTCTTTATCCTCTGCACTGTGAAATATGGCAATAAAAAGATACAGCTGTCCTTGTTCTATCTTAAACTGATTGTGTCAGAGCTGATACAGATACTATTCACATTTTTATAATGCAATGTTATTTGTATTTTATTGTAATACTTATTATGGAAATACATGGTATTATGGGACATTATTGCAGAAAATGCTAAGCTAGACAAGGAGATCACAGACAGCCTCACAGGTTGGCAAGGGTAAAAGATGAGAGAGGGAAGGTGATGATTGTTCCAAGCACAGGGAATAGCATGTGACTATAAAGCTTTAACATAATTAAAGGAAATTTAGTATATCCGTAAGAGTTAACGTTAGAGAGAGAGGCAGGAACAAGATTATAGAAGGCTTTGTAAAACATAAGAAGAAGTTTGGATTTCATCCAAAGATAAATAGAACTCACTGAAGGATGTTAAGTAGTAGGACAATATAATCTGATTTGAATTTTTGTTGCCCTAGCTCAGAAGTCAGGAAAGCACCAATAATGGTCTGGATTAGGGTAATGGCAGTAGGACTGGACAGGTGTGGATAGATTCAAGAGACAGAAAACAAATTTAGCGAGACTCCGTGATTGATTGGAGAGGAGGAATAGGAAGATTTCACTTCCTGGCAGCTAATAAATGAAAAACACTTTGTCTATTAACACAATACCTAATTCATGAAATAAAGCCTTGTCATTTATTCACAAGATAATTATTTTTATTTTCTCTTTCAATGGTAAGAAAAAACTTTGCATATTTTACTCCAACCTGTTAAAAAATGGTAATTTATAAGATTTTAAAAGCGGAACTGAAGTGTACCACTGTTTTATCCCAATGGGTATTGTTACACAATTCATCCAAAAATTGCTTCTACTAACTCTGACTTCCAAACTCATATTAAGGGGAAAGTTACTCACAAGCATCAGTAACATGTATCTAGATAGAAATTATAAAGTTAGACTATAATCAAGTACTTTCCCACAGAGTCAAAGGATGAGAGTTCAATAAATGCTTCAAAAAATCAATACAATTCCTAATAGATTGCTTCACAGGTTGACAAAGAGTGTGGCAGTGATGAATATGAGAATATCTCTTCCTAACGTCTAATGTCTGTTCTCCCACATGCAATGTTGGCCTGAGAGACCCCAAATTACAAACTACAAAAAAGAAAATGTACATGTATTTTAGAGAAAATGTATAAAGAGATAATTGGTATCTAATGTGAAGCTATCTCTTTGGAAAGTGAAGTGACTATACTGCTGATCCAGCCACTAAGGGCCATAGTGTAAAGTTGGTTTAAAGGGTAAAAGTTGACAAGAATCGAACTTACCATTCAGAACAAAAGACAGGGAATCTTCCTTGGCACATCTTCTATTGTTAGATTTTTAAATCAACTGTATTTATTAGTCATGACTAAAAGATGAGAATAAGAAAAAATCTTGCCCCTGTCAATTTCTTCTCTCTCGAGCTTGGTTTGTAAAGCTGAGAAAATAATCTTAATGTCAACCAAGAGTTGAGCCTCCAAATTTTTACTCACCAAATGAGTATCTCAGGTAATCCATACTACAGAATGTTTTTATTTTCAGATTTATTACCAAATTATACCCTCCCACATGAATAATTTTTTCAAAGCCTAGGTTCTTATTTTAATATTGTTTTCCTAAACACACTTGCATTAATATGATTTTATATAAATTCATAAATATGATTGTATAAAGTGTAATTATTATTATATTCTAATTTTGCTGTTTCTTTCTGACTTCGATACCGCATCTTTTATTTTACTACTTACCTTCCTTCACTCAGGTAAAATTCTCCAAATTTCTTCTATCCTTAAATAATAATACACAAGCATCAACAGAGATCAGCTTTGTTTTGTAAAAATGGAAACATGTTTTTCTGTATCTTGATTTTCTCAGTCAATAGCAACTTAAGGAAAGCTCTCCAAATTAACCTGGTTGGCTCCTATTCATTACTTTTAATGACTGCGTAATATTTCATACTATTATTGTATCATAATTTAAGAATTTCACTACTGAAGGATATGAACTTTGTATTCTGTAGTGGTTTATGTTTTAATTTGTTGTCACTGTGTAACATATTGCAACAAACATGTTTGTAAAGAGATCCTTATTTCATAGTACTTCTATTTCTATGAAATATTTTCTAACTGATTCACATAACCTAGTTAACATATATTTTAAAATATATAGAATATTTAGTATCATGAGACTCTTAAAGCTCAAATGCTCAACATCTTCACCAGAAATAAGATCCATGACACCCCTCTTGCCTGTATCCCCATCAGCAATATGTGTATCTTGTGTATGTTACTGTAAATCTGATTGATATGAAATGCTATGGTAACTAATTTTCACTTCCCTAAATTACAGTGAGTCTGAACATTTTTGTCATATATAGTATTCTGTGATATCTGGATAGGTTCTCATTAATTTCCTCTTCATGTCTTGTCTCCACTGTTTATTGAATCACTTGACTTTTTTTTGTCAATTGCAGGGATGATTTTTATTTTGACATCTTTCCTCTGCAGTGAAATATTTTCCAAAATTACTTTTGTTTATCAACTTTAAGTATAATTTGCCATACAAAAGTTTTTAGTGTTTGTATTTTCATATAGAATATCTTTTTTATAGCTTATTTTTTCTAGTTTTATTCAATATTGTCCTCTTATCACTAGACTCTACATGTGTTCTTCAAAATTTTCTTGCAGGATTTTTATTGTTTACATTTTTACATAAAGTTGTATTCCATCTGGAATTTGTTTCTAAATATTATGCAAGATTAGGATCCAAATTTATTTTCTTCCAGATGGATAGTCAATTGTTCCAGAACCAGTCATTTAAAGATTCATCTTACTAACAACAACAAAAAAATCATCTTATTCTCACTAGCCTAAAATAGAATTTTATTAAGTTGTCAAAACACATGGGTATTTAATTCTGTACCACTTGTCTGTTTATGACATACAAATTTAGTTATACTGGTTATACAGTATGCTCAGATACCCAATAAGGCACTTCTCTAATCTGTTTTGGTTTTTTGTGTGCTTTCTCAACTATATTTATGCAGTTATTTCCCTAATGATATTTTTGCATACAATTATTAAAGAGATTTAAGAGTAATGTAAAAGACTATAATTTTTAATGATATATATGCCAACTTAATATTTATGGACATTATAGAACTGATCATTGTAGAGAGGCATATAAGACACCTGGATGCTCAAATGAAAGAAATAAAGTCTGTATGAGAAAATGGAAATTATAATGAAAACTACTGTTATTCCAAATCTCTTTTGGAAAGTAAGTCCCCAACATCTAGCAAGTAAATAATGGTTGTCCAGAAACAGAAAAGGCCTTAAAAGGAGAAGAGTAATAACTAAATATAATTAAATATAGAGAAATTTTTTTCTAAAAATATTAAAAGGATTCATGAAGTTCTAAGAAAACTGATGGGGAAAGAAATTCATATACCTAGGCACATTATGGAAGAGACCTGATATCTAAGGTAAAAAGAAAACCTTGCAAGCTTCCAGACTGAAGGATATAATTACTTACAGTTGTAAAATAATCAGACAGATAATAACTTCCTACTTGTTTCACTGGAAGTTAGAATACACCAGAATAGCATCTGTAGATCCGAGAGAAAGGAAATACACTCCAAGATATACCAACCAAAATTACATATACAGAAGGATTCAGAGGAAGATCCTCCACTTCACTGTGGGATGGAGTACAGTATGTTTTCCACTGGAAACATACTAGAAATCAAATTAGCAAGCACCAATCATCTTTGAGACAGTGACACCAATCTGATGAGACAGTAACTGGAGAGGCGACAATTCAGACAGGGGAAGGTCTTAAAAAGATGAGTTGATTTATATAGCAGATTTAACTTGCCCTTTACTTGCACTAGTATTTGCCAGCTAGGGGTTCAAACAGCAGACTGAGACCCAGGATTGCACCCACGGAGATATGCCACTGTGGGGAAAGAAAATCCAGATGTCAAATTTTCTCTCGAGATATCTGTTGAATTCTGGGGCTGTGTAATGTAGAGTAAGGGTTAAAAATTTAAGCAGAAAGCCTGCGAAAAGCAACACATCCCTTTCAGTAGTCTCAAGAGACAAGTATCAGAGTATAAAACTACCGGTAGGAGGAACCCTGGATGGTCCGCCAAACTATTAACAGAAACTCTGGAAGGCTGGAATAAACCAGAGGTAAAGTGGACCTTAAGAAGGTCACAATCCTTAGGTCGGGCACAGTGGCTCATGCCTGTAATCCCAGCACTTTGGGAGGCCGAGGCGGGCGGATCACCTGAGGTCGGGAGTTTGAGACCAGCCTGACCAACATGAAGAAACCCCGTCTCTACTAAAAATACAAAAAAATTAGCCAGGCGTGGTGGCGCATGCCTGTAATCCCAACTACTCAGGAGGCTAAGGCAGGACAACTGCTGGAACCTGGAAGCCAAGATCGTGCCATTGCACTCCAGCCTGGGCAACAAGAGCAAAACTTCGTCTCAAAAAATAAAAAAAAAAAAATTAAAAAGTCACAACTCTGCTTTTATTCAGCCTCATTCATGCATGATTGCTTTAAGGTGGTTAGCTACCACCCTACTTTTAGCCCACTGAAAGTAAACCTACTCGGCCAGGCACGGTGGCTCACGCCTGTAATCTCAGCACTTTGGGAGGCCGCGGAGGGCGGATCACGAGGTCAGGAGATCGAAACCATCCTGGCTAACACCGTGAAACCCCGTCTCTACTAAAAATACAAAAAATTAGCTGGGCGTGGTGGTGGGCACTTGTAGTCCCAGCTACTCAGGAGGCTGAGGCAGGAGAATGACGTGAACCGGTAGTCGGAGCGTGCAGTGAGTCGAGATCACGCCACTGCACTCCAGCCTGGGCTACAGAGTGAGACTCCGCGCCCCCCCCAAAAAAAAAAAGAAAAAAAAGAAAGTAAACCTACTCTATAGAAAATAATATTATATCGTGCCTCTATAATTGTTATACACAATTCAAGCAAAACTTACGAAATACATGAAAAGATTGGAACAGATGACCAAAATCCAAGATCTAAATGGACCCACAGATGATCTTTACAACAAGTTGTCTGACAAATAACTTTAAAATAACTATGATTAATATGCCCAAGGACATAAAGAACCACTGTAGAAATATATAAAAAGATAGGGAATTTCACAGAGAAATTGAGCCTATTTTTAAAAATGCAAATCATAGAACTAAAAATAAAGTATCTACAAATAAGAATTCAGCGATTACATTACTCATAAATTTCCTATGAAAACAAGTCAAAAAATAACTCTACAGAATCAAGAGACCACAAGCTGCCATGAAGCTTATACTTTAAACTCAGCACAATACTCATACTTGGCAATTCTGTCACTATCACTTTCACAACTGCTGTTAGACATGAGTCAAAACTGTTCACCAGAACACAAAATATTTGCGGAGTAGGAGACTAATAGGAACTTAAACCACTTGGCAAGTGCCATTCAAATGAGTCAAGTATTTCAAAAACTTCAGCACTTGTTGCCTGAGCACTTACGATAATGTCTGCATTGTGCTACTAACTGACCAATTGTAAGAGAAATTAATATTACAATGTTCAATATTTTAAGTCTTATATATGTATTTATGTATCTGTTATATTTAAAGTGCATTCCTGAAATCAAAATCCTTCTAGTGAGTCAGAAATAAGTTATCCAATGTTTGACTGTATTTTCTCTTGTTTTAACTTTTATTTTCAGGAGCAAATGTACAGGTTTGTTACATAGGTAAACTTGTGTCATGGGGGTTTTGTTGTACAGATTATCTCATCACGCAGGTATTAAGCCTAGTATCCATTAGTTATTTTTCCTGATCTTCTCACTCCTTCCACCCTCCACCCTGCAACAGGCCCCAATGTGTGTTGTTCCCCTCTATGTGTTCATGTGTTCTCATCATTTAGCTCCCACTTATAAGTGAAAACATGTGGTATTTGATTTTCTGTTCCTGTGTTAGTTTGTTAAGTATATTGGCCTCCAGCTCCATCCATGTCCCTGAAAAGGACAGGATTATGTTATTTTTATGGCTGCATAGTACTCCATGGTGTATATGTACCACATTTGAAGATCAATGAATCCAGGGGCTGGTTTTTTGGAAAAAAAAATAATAAAATAGACTGCTAGCTAGACTAATGAAGAAAAGAGAGACTACTCAAATAAACGCAATCAGTAACAAGGGGGATATTACCAATGTATTCCTTTTTACCCATAACCTAAACCCTTCCACGTATCTTATCAGTAATTTTCCTCTACATATTTATTTCCTCTTCACGTTCGTGGGAACTCCACTCAAGTTCCCTTGGAATAGGACTCTCCAGACTACAAATCCCTCCACAAATTTATTATGTTCTTATTTACATAAGAATTGGTTGATTGTGGTAATATTGGCATGAAGATATAGCTTTTTTACTTATATATCCAAGAATGGAGCTTGCTTTTATTCTTCATATATACATACATATATATATATATATATATATATATATATATATATATATATATATGAGTACACACAGTATTTGTCTTTTTTGACCGACATATTTCACTTAGCATAATGTCCCCAAGGTTCATCCATGTTGTAGGAGGCGACAGGATTCCCTTCCTTTTTAAGGTTAAATAATATTCCATTGTATGTATATGTCACATTTGCTTTGTCCACTCATTTACTGATGAAAATATGAGTTGCTTCCTCTTTGGCTATTGTGAATAGTGCTGCTATGAACATGGTTGTGCAAATATCTCAAGACCCACTGTCTTTCCCTATTGAGTGACATTAGCATTCCGTTGAAAACCATGTACAGAAAGTTTCATTTCTCGACTCCCTAAATTTATTCCCTTGATTTGTCTATCTTTATACCAGGACTACACTGTTTAGATTACTGTAACTTTGTAATATATTTTAATATCAAGACATGTAAGCCCTTTAATTGTTTTCATTTTCAAAACTGTTTTGGCTACTTTGGAGTCCCTGAAGAATCCCTATGAGTTTTAGAATGAATTTTTCTATTTCTGTAAAAAAATGCCATCAGGATTTTGATAGGGATTGCATTAAGTTTATAGATTGCTTTGGGTAGTATGGATATTTTGACAATATTAAGTCTTCTAATTCATGAACATGGGCTACCTTTCCATTTATTTGTGTCTTCCTTAATTTCTTTCAGCTACATTTTGTAGTTTTCAGTGTACAAGTCTTTTGCCACCTTATTTAGGTTTATTCCTAAGTATTTTATTCTTTTTCATGGTATTATAAATGAAATTGTTTCCATCGTTTCTTTTCAGATTGTTCATTTTTGATGTACAGAAACACAACTGATTTTCCTAAGCTGATTTTGTCTGTCCTGTCACTTACTGAATTTTCTCATTAGGTGCAGTGGGATTTTTTGTGTGGTATCTTTAGGGCTTTCTACATATAAGGTCAAGTCATCAGTAAACAGAGCTAATTTTACTTCTTTCTTCCTTTCCAATTCATATGCCCTTTTACTCTGGCCCAATTCTCTGCCTCCTCAAATTGTTTTCATATAATCCAGGTTAGTTTGATCCATTTGGTTTGTGTGCTTCACAAATTATTTGGCTTTTGATATTTGCATCATCATTTGCGTTAACATTATTAACAGTCAGTCTTATTAAACAAGACCCCAGATTCATAAAACCTGTTTTTGCCAGTAGACCTAGTTTTAAATTCAGCAATTTAACGATAGAAGAAATAAAGAGAATCTTTTTCCATGAAGCAGCAGAAGTGATTTTTTAAATCTTTATTATGGAAATATCAAATATATAAAATGTATAGTATAGTGAATACTACTTCATTAGTATATTTTTAATACTAATCAGTAGTTGCAACAATGATCAAGTTCTGGCAAATCTTATGTCTATGCTTATCAATTTCTTTCCACTTCCAGATAATTCTGACTCCAAGATAGCATTTCATTTCATCCGCATATACTTTTAAATATATCATAAGAGGACATTAACTACAACAACATAATTATACTAAGATATTAAGTACTTCCTCCTTATTATAAAATACCTAGTATTTGTTCAAATTTCCTGGGTTGTCTCATAAAATTTTAGGTTAGTTGTTCAAATCAATGTCAATAAAGTTTATATATTGCAATTAGTTGTCATATTTCTTGAGTTTTATATAATCTGTAAGTGCCTCCTTTCTCTACTTTTTCCTTATGATTTATTTGTGTAAAACGTTGAGTCAATTGTTCCAGCAGTTTCTCATAGACTAGGTTTTACTGATTTCATCCCAGTGGTATTGCTTGACATGTTCCTCTCTCTCTTCCATCTCCCTTGAATTGGTAGCATGATTTAGAGATTTGATTAGGTATATGTTCAGGGTTTTTGTTTCTGATAGGTTATTAGCTTTCTCAAGATTACTTCACAAGTGGTCTTGGTCTTCCATTCAAAAGAAGTTTATGTCTGATTTTCTCTAGGAAGTAGCTTTTCTCTGCCTAGATTATTATTAATATACATAGCATTTTACAACACTGAAATTACTTTCACATACACAAATATATTTATCCTTACAATATCCCTCAATGTATGTGATAGGTCCAGTACTGGATTTTGCCCAACTTACAAACTAACAAATAAGCCTGTTATTACTGAGGGATGTTGGCAGAAACCAAGAGATTCCTGGGTCAGAGGCCAAGGAATGTATTACTCATGGCACAAGCAGCATGAACATCAGCATATTCCTGTTACTTGCCTTCTCGAGGTCCTTTGAGAGTGATGTGAAATAATAGTCCAGATGAATGCTACATATTAGTTGGGTTTGTGTCATGGCTGGGTAACCCACAGCCTGGGGACCACCAAGTTTACGGCAAGCAGTAAGCAAGTATGCACTTTTGCTAGGAGAGTTGTAACTATCTTATCTCTCAGGTTACTAGGCATACAAATAACATTTAAAAATGGCCCATGAACAACTGATCAGAGCCTTACAGTCATAGCACACCCCAGAAAGAAAAGTAAGATTACTATAGACCCAAAAAGAAATGTATCTCCCAACAATGGGTAGGATACATAATTGTTTTTTTTTTTTTTCATATTTCCAATGACAAGATTAAGGTTTACTGTGAATTAGGGTCACACAAAACAAGAGAGCCAGGACTAAAACAATTAGAAAAACAGAAATATATTCATCAGCAAAAACATCTGATGCCCTGAAATTAACGGAATATTTTCAAATTGCTGAGATAAAAACAATTGTCAAAATAAAAATGTTTATAATACTTAACAATCATTCAAAACTAAGGAAAAGTATGAATGATTTTACCATTTAGATGGTCACTGAAAACAATGACCTGGAAGGAAAAAAATTAAACCAAATGAAACGACATAGATCCACTGATTTATTAACTGCTTCAACAAGTATTTTTTGAGCAGTGACCATGTGCCAGACATTTTTCCTGCTTTGGAATTATAATTGTTCAAGAAGCAATAAAGACTGTTAAATTATTTTCAATAACTGAAGCAAAACCAAATCATGGAGTTATAAGGTGGATTGTTTTTCATAATATTATATACTTCTATGTCATAGTTAAAAACACAGCCTATATATTCCTCTTTTCAATCTCTTAACCACCCCAATTTGTATCAATCATGAACTTTACTTCTGCTTAACCAGTGTACTTCCTTTTATTAAACAGTAAATGCTAAACAATCCCTTAGAAACATAGACTAAATTTTTGAGTCTAATTCGCTGAGCATTTAGCAAATATTTATTAAATTGAATTCAATTGATTCTAGTTGAGTTGAATTAAGTTGATCCAAGTATCTCTGTGCCCAATGCCAGCAATAAGGTCAGTGAGAGCAAAAGAAACAACAAACACTTATAAACTACATGGTTGAATTTAAGACTAAAGAAAAAGATATTTCCAAAGGCATCCACCATCCCTCCACTCTTTTGGTATTCTTAGAGAGAATCTTAGATGGATAGCACATATAAAAATAGCTCACACCTGAAGGGTTAGATCACAAAGAGCAAACAAATCAAAAGCAGGATGTGGCTCTGCATTTTATAATGTCTAAAAAGAGAAAGGTTTCGTGGTTCATTAACCATACATGACTCATTGCTTCCAAACACTATATGTGCATGACATTGTCTTTGTCCTTGAAAAAACAGCTGTAATTTGACTAAATCTGTCATCGATGTTGCTAAATAACAAGCGAGAAAATTACACAGCTGATGTAACTGTGTAACTTAACTCTCTAAAGTAATCATCTCTACAGAGTAACAGTGCAACTGTTATATTTGTACTGAAGGCAGAATCTTAGGACAGAGGGACAGGACCTCATATGTCACGATTTACCCAGCCACCCTTTGCCCCTGGCTGTTAGGCAGTAATGTGATTCAAATAATCATGATCTAGTGTGCTAGAGCTGGAAGACACTTTGGAGGTGTCTACTCCAACCACCTCATTTTATGAATTAGGAAACAGAGGGTGCCCAAGGATGATGGTGGGGAAAAGAAGCAGATTTGATTGATTTTGTAAGTGACAGTTACTTCTTGCTATCTTATTGTAAACCTGTTATTTAAGAACGTTGTTTTTAACAGAGACTCCATTTTCATACTAAATCTTAGAAAAAAATTACAGTGTAGAAAGGTGTTGTTTAGCTTTCAGGTGTAAGTTTTCTCAGTCATAGGGAAATGAATTCAGTGATATTTCTACTGCTAGAATGCTGACCCTCATCTACAACATGTTATTTAATGTTTGAATTAAATTTCACTCACCTCATAAAACAAGCATGGGAATAAACCAGGGTCTGCAAGTACAGAATGTGAGAGTACTTAGGGAGAGATAGATATAAAGGAAATCTGGCAGAAGACTTAACCGGAGTAGAAACTTAAAAATAAAATAGATTTCCTTAATACATCTTTTTGCATTTTGTGGTACTTTTACAGGAAAAATGTGTGTGTGTGTGTGTGTGTATACGTGTGTCCCTGCTTTTGTGTATTTACACAAATGCTTATGTTCTCTTCACCCTGTACTATGACTTTGGACATAGGCAGTTCACATCATGAAGTAAAAAACTGGTCAATTATTTTTGATTTCCTAAATATATTCACTTCGTATTTTGGAAATCCTGATCAGTATTATCTATAAAACATATAAATAAATGGCAGTTATATATACAAAAAATACTGAATATGGTTCCTGGAACAATACAGGAAGCCAACAAATGTTTACTGATTTCAAATATTTATACCAGTAAATGTGCAACGTATTTCCAGGAGAGTTGAGGAAGCTTATCTCTGGAACTCTAGAGAGCAAGAGTGTTCCTAGAACCTTTATATTCTCTGTCCACACTGCTCACAGATACAGTTGGAAGGAAAATTATTAAGTTTCCATTTGGCTACAGCTGGAGACATTAGTGTTCCACAGGGTGCCATATTTTCTCCTCAACAAATTTTGAGGAAAACTGTTGAAATAATCGTTCTATGACCAGAAGAGCTTCTAATGTTATAACTCACTCCTGATGAAGCTGAATACATTGTGATCTATAAGGGAAAAAAAAAAGATGCTTTATATGTGATACATTTATTCTATGTTTCAGAAAATGCAAAACTGAGGCACGATCCCTTTGATGAGCTTGATATTTCATATATTTAAAAGATGATAAGAAAATAACGTCCAGAGAAACGCTGACTTGACATGCCTTTGACTGGACCCTAACCTCCACGTTCTCAGCCTCACTCATGGTCAGCTGCAGACCCAGGAAGGCCCATGGTGTTATCTCTAGCCTGAACCAGGAGGCCTGAGAACTAGGAGAATCTACAATATAGTTCCGATTCAAAGGCTGGCAGGCTTGAAACCCAGGAAAAAAGTGATGTCTCAGTTTGAAGACACACAGAGGTTTCTCTCTTGCTCAAGAGTCAGCCTTTTTGTTCTATTTAGGACATTAACTGATTGATTATCTGGGGGCCCACCTACACTAGTGAGTGCAATCTGCTTTACTCAGTCTACCTACTAACATGTTAATCTTATTCAAAAATACCTACCCAAAAACACTCAGAATAATTTTTGACCAAATATCTGGGTATCCCATGGCCCAGTAAAGTTGACACATGAAATTAACCATCACACTATCTATACCGATTTACAGTAGAGGAGGATTTACAGACAGGATGACAAAATCATCCATCACATTAATATAATGGTAATTTTAATATTAATAATTTTATCATTGTTTGATTTTAATTTATAAGTTTATTGTAGCCTACATCATAAATATACAGGTATCTAGTTGTACATTTGTACATATTTAATAACATTGTAACCAAAATCAGTTTTCTAAACTGGGGATATATATATTTAAAAGCTTTTCCATTTAAAATGGCTCTAAGCTTCACAAACAATGTTGAGAAACCATACCTATCAGTCCGTTCTCACACTGCTATAATGAACTGCCCGAGACTGGGTAATTTACAAAGGAAAGAAATTTAATTGACTTACAGTTCTGCAGGGCTGGTGAGGCCTCAGGAAACTTATAATCATAGGAGAAGGGGAAGCAAAAGCCTCTTTCTTCACGTGGCAACAGGATAGAGAAGTGCTGAGCGAAGGAGGGAAAAGCCCCTTATAAAACCATCAGCTCTAGTGAGAACTCACTCACTATCATAATAGCCTGAGGGAAATGATCTAATTACCTCCCATGAGGTCCCTCCCCCAACACATGGGAAACACAATTTGGATTATAATCCAAGATGAGATTTGGGTGGGGACACAGAGCCAAACTATATAATCATATTACATAGAAAGACACTGTACCAAGATAATACTTTAGTAAAGTATAGATTTTGTTTGGGGGCTAAATTTGGTATTGTGGATTCATGTTGTTCTTAATTTAATTGAATCCAATTGCTGTAGTGATTTTTGCAATCCTACCTGGCATCCACAATCACTGCTGTATTTATGCACTACAGAATAAATTGGGAATAGAATAGCAACATCCCAGATCTTGCCAGATTGTCGCAGCTTTAGTATTCCATAAACAAGCTAGTATTTGCTAATATTAGTGAGAGTGAAATGAGAGAGTTTTATCATGTGCATAATGTGTTCCATCTGGTGGTAAGTGACAGTCTTCAGACAATAAATTTGTTTTGACCAATATTTAGATAACTTCTAACAGCTTTACCTGCACAAGGTGCTTGAATTTTGCTTCATGCATCCAAGGAGATTTTTGAAAAACAGAACTATGTGGATATTTTGAAAAGGTACATACACTGTAGATTATTATTTAGAAATAAAAAGTATGCCCATCTCAAAGTCTTTCTTTTATAATGCATTTTCACCATTGTTGGTGTTAGAACTATACACCTCAAAGTTTGCCCTCTTTGCGGGGATAGTGAGATATTCTAAGACTACATGGAGATGCTCATGGATAATCATTTCTCTCTGGTCCCCATTTACTCTTATTCCATTGTGTAGTATCCTCCAACCCCTACCTACATAGCCACATTCTCTCTGGATTTTATACTTAGAAATGATTTTTCCCCACCTAAGTCTGTGCTAAAACTGGCCCTTCCACAGAACAATGTTTATCCCTTAGAGAATCAATATCCTTTTTTACATCATAATACTCTTGAAACAATAAACTTCTGCTTTGCAAAGAGGTTCTATACTCTTCTAAAAGTTAGAGTGCAGAGTTCTGTGGGAAACCTGCAGGAAAACTTAGTTTACCTCAAGTTCCCTGGGAATAGGTGAGCCACTGTGATATGGTTTGGATTTGTGTCCTCGCCCAAATCTCATGTGAAATTGTAATCCTCAGTATTGGAGGAGGGGCCTGCTGAGAAGTGATTACATCATGGGGGTGGATTTCTCCCTTGCTCTTCTCTTGATAGTGAGTTCTCATGAGATCTGGTTGTTTAAAAGTCCCCCTTCACTCTCTTCTTCCTTCTCCAGCCATGTACCTACTTCCCCTTCACCTTCTGCCATAATTGCTAGTTCCTGAGGCATCCCCAGCAGTGCTGTACAGCCTGGGGAACCATGAGCCATTAAACCTTTTTTTTTTTTAATAAATTACCCAGTCTCAGGTAGTTCTTTATAGCAATGTGAGAAGAGACTGATACACCCTGTCTTTGTTGAGTGTGTTGTATGAAGATTTGTTTTTTGTATATAGCTAACGTTTGTTGAGCCTGTGTTCTATAGGATTTTTTTATTCAACGTGTATCAAGTGCTAACTATATAGGGGCTCACCCTACACACAAATTAAATAATCATCTTTGCTGAACTTTGAAATGTAAGCACTTATAAGCAGGTGATTAACTTTGTAGTAATAATTATTTGATAATAGAGATGATTATTTCTAACTTACTGAGTTCCTATTTACTTTGCACAATGTCTGACTAGCTTTTTTAGTGGTGAAGGTAGTTTGGGCAGTGAGTCCCGAAGGCGACTCCTGAGGACGCCCTGCCGTAGAACTGAGAGTCAGGAGGCTGGCATGTTATTTCTGGCTCTGTAACCTACTCTCCAAATGAACTTTGCTTGTCAACTCACTTTGCCTGCAGTGGCCTCTAATATGTAAATAAAAATCATATTTCTGTCCTGTGTAAAAATATTAAAAAGTATTTTTTACATTTATGATTTTATTGAATTTTTGTATCTATCCTGGGAAAAGGCCTTATTATGATGCAGATTTTACAGATGAAGAAACTGAATCTCAGTAAGAATTTTCTATGGTTTCTAGAGCTTGACCCCAGGTTCTTTCTACTACACTTCATTGTCTCCTAGCATGAATTCTGTGAGTTTATGTAGCTCTAATTTAATAAATTAAAAAGAGTAAAGTGTTCGTTTATATATCAAACTTATTTTTACTAAGTTATATATTTTAAAAACCACTTACTAAATGTAGGGTACTATGAAGAGCTACTTATAAGCCCTAGGAATAGAAAACAAAAATAAACATAATTGCAACTTTAAGGGGCTTAAAATCAAGTAGATGGGATCAATATATAAACTCAAATATAAGTGACAAAAATATATAGACATATAGACATATATGACTCTCTGTGTGTGACTCTGTGTGTGTGTCTATATATATCTTAAGCTGGGTGATGAAAATAAGAAGGAAACACACACACTTGGGTAAAACACCACAGCATTTATAATTGGAAAGTGTATGAGGACAAGGACAAAAAGAACTGACATGATTGTTGTTAGATGGATCTACACCAGAAACAACATTAGGTGGAAAACTATGCACTGCATTATCATATGTCACATGGGATTAGATACTGAGGAAACAATGAAATATGGGTTTGAGAGAGAATGAGTATGATTTTTATTCCAGGAGATGGAGTGCAAGCATAGAAAAATTTCCATACTGGGTCAAGTCAGGTGATCCTGTAATATTCAAAATCCATATAATTCCCCTGCTTTCAATATGAGTGTTCTCTCCTCACACACGCATCTGTTATTTTCATAAGATCTTGTTGACCCAAGGTACAGCAAATAATATCCTTAATTATGTTACATAGTCCCATCTAAATACACACCTCCAGTTAAGAACACCATAGGGGCAAGCAAAGAACCATCATCACAGCCTAAGGTCTTCTCCTCATGTGTGTGGTGCTCTATGGATATCTTCATGGATAATGTTGCTCTTCTTCTTAGAAATGATAGCAATGACTGTCTCTCTGTATTTTGTTTAGCTATCCCCTGGGCCAATGGAATTGCTTCTTTAAGAATAATGTACACAGAATATTTAGAGGTTGAAGTATTAAGTTAAATATAGCAATTTATAATACACATGATGGATAGGATATACAAGCCAAGATAATTTATTTCCATTTAATAAATGTAATAAGCATCACAATCTCTCCTGCACAATATTCTTAGATATTTTGACAATTTTTAAGCTCTAAGGATTAGCTGTTTAATATTCTTCACTTACTGAAGTAAAACAGAGGCAAATTTTTTCCTGAAGTTAATTTTTACCTTTCACTGGGAGAAAAGATGCCTTTCATATGAGTGTTCACATTATACTTGCTGCAGCTAATTTTTAACAAAGACTAGTAAGTAAAAATGGCATCTATTCAATCAATGCCCAATCCAGTGCTGAATGATATGCATATGGGTTCAATAGAAAAGTCTAAATGAAAGAAAATATTTAAAGGGCCAAAAATATTTAAAGGGTAAAAATTACAGCAATTCTTAATATTCCAACCATCCCCATAGCTCTAGTAAGTTTCTCGGCAAAATGAAACACTGCTCAGTATTTTTAATCACAATAGTCTTCATATCAAGGATGATCATCAAGAATAATTAGTATCTACAGCAGGGATGCTGACCAATTAGAACAGACACTGACATGAACTACACCAGTGCAAACTGATTGCCAACCCTGCCATAGACATAGCCAGAGAGTCATGACAAAGATTCAGTGGCAAGACCCCGGAAATGTTCAGTAAGTTGACATCAAAGTGACAGATTGATCAGACACACCTAATTGTATTCCCTCCTACAATCCCACTAAAATAAATATACAACCTTTTTTTTAACAAAAACTTAAATTTACTGAGAGCAGAGGAATTGGAAGAAGAGATAGCAATAACAACATTTGAAAGCTGGAGAGCAGATGATACGTGGTGCCTAACATAGGATGCCCAAGAAAGCCAACTCCCTCACAGCATTGAGGAAAGCAGAGAACCAACTCAATTTGCTCTATAGATTCCTCTAAAGATAGAGGGATAGGCTGGGCACAGTTATTCACACCTGTAATCCAAGCACTTTGGGAAGCCAAGGCAGGCGAATGACTTGAGGTCAGGAGCTCGAGACCAGCATGGCCAACATGGTGAAACCTCATCCCTACTAAAAATACAAAAATTAGCCGAGTGTGGTGGTGGGCACCTGTAGCACAGCTACTTGAGAGGCTGAGACAGGAGAATCGCTGGAACCCAGGAGGTGGAGGCTGTAGTAAGCCGATGTTGTGCCACTGCACTCCAGCCTAGGCAACAGAGCGAGACTCCATCTCAAGAAAGAAAAAAAAAATCATACAGGGATAGATAGCATCAGTTATCCTTGGTAGAGAGGTTAAAGAAGAAAGGTCTATAAAGTAAGGATTAGTCAAAAGCTGTAACGAGGAGTTATCCCTTCCTCCACTCCAAACCAACAGGTGTCTGTCTCTCCCATACATCAGTACTATGTAGGAGATATAATTTTGGAAAGGACTTGAGAATTCTCAGTACAGTTGAGGGTAAAAGTAAAAGTATTATTGTGAAAGAAAAAGTATTAAATCTATCTACCTACTTACCTACTGTATTAGTCCATTCTCACTCTGCTATAAAGAAATACCTAAGACTGCATAACTTATAAATAAAAGAGTTTAAATTGGCTCATGGTTCTTTAGGCTGTACAGGAAGCATGGAGGCATCTAGCCCTGGGGAGGCCTCAGGAAACTTACAGACACAGCAGAAGGCAAAAAGGAAGCAGGCATGTCTTGCATGTCTTACATTTCCAGAGCAGCAAGAGAAAGAGAAGGGGGAGGTGCTACATACTTTTAAATAACCAGATATAATGAGAACTCACTCAGTATCATGACACAGTACCAAGGGGGAAATCTGCCCCCATGATCCAATCACCTCCCACCAGGCCCCACCTCCAGCACTGGGGATTACTATTTGACATGAGATTTGGACGGGGACACAGATCCAAACCATATCACCTACCTACCTATAAAAAATACTGACATCTACACTCTGGTCCCAGCCTACTTCTCCCATTTGGCTCCCAGAATTTTTGCAACCAGGGAGTTGCTCTCAGGCAAGACGCTGGAAGAGTCTTCTCTCAGTATCTGCCTAGTTTAAGAGGAAACAAAGACAAAAGAGGCATGAGACATGGCTTTTGATCTATAGTATTTCTGGATCTCCCTTTGTGTACATGGTAGAACTACACATTTGTTGTAATTTGTATTATTATGTTTTCTCTTGAATTTAGTCTTAAAGTCTCTCTTTTGCTCAAGAATGGCCATAAGCCGGTCGGGCACAGTGGCTCGCTCCTGTAATCCGAGCACTTTGGGAGGCCAAGGAGGGCGGATCACAAGATCAGGAGATTGAGACCATCCTGGCTAACACGGTGAAACTCCATCTCTACTAAAAATGAAAAAAAAAAAAAAATTAGCCAGGCGTGGTGGTGGGTGCCTGTAGTCCCAGCTGCTCAGGAGGCTGAGGCAGGAGAATGGCGTGAACCGGAAGGCAGAGCTTGCAGTGAGCCAAGATGGCCCCAGTGCACTCCAGCCTGAGTGACAGAGCAAGACTCCGTCTCAAAAAAAAAAAAAAAAAAAAAGAATAGCCATAAGCCAAGATAGCCACTCTGTAAGAGAGCCCTGACCAGGAGGAAAGTTAGGCTCTGAGATACAATGAGGAGGTGAAACCAAAATGCATGAAACAGAAAAAAAATTTATTCCTCGCTGGTCCCAGAGAGATTCGGAGTACCAACAGGAGGACAACAGGAAGTCCAGAGGCATCAGGGCACTCAACCTGTATGCAGAGTGAAAGAAAGAGGAATTCTTGGATTAAGTCTTTTTTAAGAACCATGAGCTCTTATCACTTAGACTTTTCCTTGGTGCTTGTGGATGGGCTAGTTTAAAGAAAACACTCACAAAGAGGGGAACGTATTTACACGACTCTGGTTTGACCATTACGTTGTAGCGTGTTTAGCAACTGTGGTTGTGTTGGGGTTTGGGGTCAGTGAGATGAGGGATAAGCAAGCTACACAGCAAACAACCAAAAGGGGAGAAGCGGTTTTAACTAGGTCAAAGGTGATGGGATTTGGGGGTTCAAATCACTTATGTCAAGCCTAAAACTTGATAAATGCAACAACAACTATATTAAACAAATTTATGACATAATTCCTGCACCCTGAGTTTCAGAAACATCCTGCAACTCATTTTGACCAATGACCTAGTAAGCAGAAGTGACACATGTTCCTTCCAGGTGGAAGCTTTTTTTATTTTTTATTTTTTAGAGATGGGATCTCACTCTGTTGCCCAGGCTGGAATGCAATGATGCTATCATAGTTCATTGCAGCCTTTAGCTCCAGGCCTCAAGTGATCTTCCCACCTTGGCCTCCCAAAGCACTGGGATTACAGGCATGAGCCACTGTGCCTGGTCCCCAGACGGAAGCTCCTACTTGGCAGTTTGTGTCTCCACACCTGTGTCCTACTGCTCTGGTGAGCTTTGAAGCATATATTGATATGAAGGTGAGATACCAAGTGGTAATATACAGAGTCACCTGGACTAAAAGGGGCCATTGCTGCCAATATTTTGGGGGCAATTTGTTTTTCCAGCCTGACCTACCTTATCCTGGCTGACAAACATAGGTTCCCTAACAAGCACCTAAGTCAGATCACACTTGTCTAACAATTGCTGAGCTCCATTTGCACATCAGAGTTAGAGTTTCGACCAGCTTTTCAGTCCCCATTCTTAAATGTTAGCATATAGCCATAATCAGGGGTCACCACTTATGTTAAGTGTATAACATGAAAAATGGTTAAATCTACAAGCAGAAAAAAAATCCAACTTTAAACAGAGACTCTACTGAGAGAAGAAAACTTTTCAAAAATGTAGTCCTCCTTATCTGAGATTTTAGTTTCTGTGGTTTCATTTACCTGTGATCAACCCCAATCTGAAGACAGATAAGTACACTACAATGAGGTATTTTCAGAGAGAGAGAGTCTACATTCACATGACACAGATGGTGATAATTGTTGTAGTTTATGATGATTTATTGTGGTTAATCTCTTACTGTGCCTAATTTACAAATTAAACCATCTCATAAGTATGTATATCTAGGAAGATATATAGGATATATAGGGTTTGTCACTATCCAAAGTTTCAGGCATCTACTAGGGGTCTTGGAATATATCCCCATCCGATAAGGCGAGAATACTGTACTGTCATTACCATCTTAATAGGCCTGAGAAGATTTAAACAAACAAAAACAATAACACAAGTTCCACTTGGAGAAACAAAGGCTAGTAAGCTTAAAACCTATGAAATTATCAACAAAGTGACTGAGTAATAAAGTTCAAGAAATCTCCTAGAAAGTAGAGTAAAATGAACACTAGAAGAAGAAACTGGAGAACATGTTCAGGGTTTCCATTGTTCAAATAATGAGACTTTCAGACACAACAGAGAAAATGAAATAATTCAAGAACATTTCCCCAAATAGATATGCATTTCTAGATGAAAAGGGCCCAGCGAGATGCCCAGCACAGAATATCCAATAGTGCCGCATCAAAGGACATCATGATAAAATTTCAGAACACAATGTAAGAGACACTATATATAAACTTAAGTCTTCTCATCTATAAACTTGCTGCATCTCTACATTTATTTAGATCTTCTTTTAAGACCATAGATGATAGTTGTAGGGATCATGGTTCTCCTTTAGTTTTGGCTTTCAATTTTATTGTGTTGTCGTCAAGGGCTCCATGTTCTTTGTGTTAAAACCATTTGCTAATAGTTAATATTTCCTTTTTGCCTTAATATATGCTCTCTTTTC
Organism: Homo sapiens; assembly: GCF_000001405.40. NCBI lineage: Eukaryota > Metazoa > Chordata > Mammalia > Primates > Hominidae > Homo > Homo sapiens. Next base: position 92,854,129 of record NC_000013.11, read on the forward strand.
TAAATATCTTATGTGAGCTTTAATTTATGTGCTATATCCACTAGTCATTACCCCACCTGTAGTGATGGTATAGAGATATATATATTATATATATGTTATTCAATAAATATATATTAATATATTTAACAGTTTATTGAATATAGATATCCTATATATATATAGAAAAATATATATATTTATTGAATATATATAGATTACCCCAACTGTAGTGATGTTATCTATGAATATATATATATTAGTCAATAGATATTAAATATATATTTATTGATTTATTACATAAAGCTTTAATTTCAAGCCAATGCAATAAGAAACATTCCTTTAAGAAGTTAGAAACAACTAAAATACAAGTATCAGACAGATAAAAATAAAAATATCAGCGATTTTACTATTAAAACCCAGACTGGAAAATGTGATTACATATGATATGTAATATTTCACCTAAGAATTATTATCAAGTCAGAAGCATAGCTGAAAAAATATCACTGACTTTTCTCAAAGGGAATAGAGTCTGCCTCATTTACTCCATGATAAAGCGCAGGGAAGAATGTACCTTCACCGTAGCCTGGCAAATCCAAAAGAGGATGAGAAATCTAAAAGTTTAGCACATTTTGTTTTATGTGTTTGTTTTTTGAGTCGAGTTCCTTATAAATTCAGGAAATTATTACCCTGCCAAATAAATAGTTTGCAAATTTTTTTCTATTCTGCAGGTTTTCTATTCACTCTATTATTTGTTTTGCTGTAGAGAAGCTTTTTAGTTTAAAAATGTTACATTTGTCTATTTTTATTTTTGTTGCCTATGCTTCTAAGATCTTAATCATGAATTCTTCGCTGAGACCAATGCCCAAATAAGTTTCCTTAGATTTTCTTCTAGTATTTTTGTGGTTTCAGGTCTAACATTTAAATCTTTAAAAGAAAGCATATAAATGCAAATGACTAATGGGCATATTTTGCTTCTATTTTGTTTCTAACTTCAGAAGAAAAAGAATGTTTCTAACTCTACTGGTTCCAAACACAACTCCTATCAAACTGTAGATATGATCACTACAGTTAATGACTAGTATATATAGCACCAGGCTTCTTTGTTTGTTCATTTGTTTCTTCTTGACTTCTATTAAATGTCATTAATACTCTTTTCCTCAGTGGATTAGGAATGTATACATCCTATATTAATTATTTAAGTGGTTAACTTTGAATTTTTAATATTCAATAAAATACATATTTGTGTGAATATAACATAAAGTTAATTAAGATTTCACACTTCTTCCTAATACAAACATGTTAGAATAAACAATTATTTCCAAGTGTTGTAATTACATTATGATTTGAACTCCCTAATATAACCATTGCTTTGCTTTTTCAGCCAACATTAATAGACAGTTACTTAGATGCTTGTCAGTTACCTTGATCACTATTACAACTTTCATACCACTCTTTCATTCTGGGTTGAGTTTCCTGCATTTTTAATTGTGGTCTTAAATAATTTTTTAGAATTGAAAAAAAAAAAGTGAAGACCCAAACACAGTCAGAAATGACAAAAGTGACATTATAAATGATCCCACAGACTACAAAAGATCCTCAAAGACCACTATGAACATCTCAGTCCCATAAACTAGAAAATCTTGAGAAAATGGATAAATTCCTAGAAACACACCACCTCCCAAGATTGAATCAGGAAGAAAGTGAAATCCTGAACAGACCAGTAACAAGTTCCAAAATTAAATCCGTAATAAATTTTTAAAAACTCTATGAACCAAAAAAAGCCTTGCACCAGATGGATTCACAGCTGAATTCTACCAGATGTACAAAGAGAAGCTGGTACCAGTCCCCCTGAAACTATTCCAAAAAAGTAAGGAAGAATGACTCCTTCCTAACTCATTCTATGAAGCCAATATCATTGTGATACCAAAACCTGGCAAAAACACAATAAAATAAGAAAACAGCAGGCCAGTATCCCTGATGAACATAGATGCAAAAATCCTCAGCAAAATAGCAAACTGGATTCAGCAGCACAAAAAAATTTAACTCATCATAATCATATGGGTTTTATTCCTGGGATGCAAGGTTGGGTCAATATACACAAATAAATAAATGCGATTCACCACATAAACAGAATTCTAATAAAAGCACATAGTTATCTCAATAGACACAGAAAAGGCCTTTGATAAAATCCGACATCTTTCATGATAAAAACAGAGTAAGCACTGAAGGAAAATACCTGTAAAGAAGAGCCGTCTATGACAAACACACAAGTAACATCCCACTGAATGGGCAAAAGCTAGAAGTGTTTCCCTTAAGAAGTGAAACAAGACAAAACGTCTACTCTCTCTACTCCTATTCAATGTAATATTGAAAGTGCCACCCAGAGGAAAGAGAAAGAAATAAAAGGTATCCAAATAGGAAATGAGGAAGTCAAATTATCTCTCTTTGCTGACAATACAATTCTATGCCTAAAAAATTCTAAAGAATGCCAAAAGTCTCCTAAACCTGATAAGCAACTTCAGTAAAGTTTCAGGATACAAAATCAATGTACAAAAATCAATATTATTACTATATACTAATAACATTCAAGCTGAGAGCCAAATCAATAGCATAATCCCATTTGTAATAGCCTTAAAAAATAAAATACCTAGGAATACATCTAACCAAGAAGGTGAAAGATCTCTACAAGAAGAACTACAAAACACTTATGAAAGAAATTGCAGATGACACAAAGGGGGAAACATTCCACACTCATGGATTAGAAGAATCAATATTGTTAAAGTGGTTATACTGCCAAAAGCAATCTATAGATTCAATGCTACTCCTATCAAATGACCAATGTCATTTTTCACAGAATTAGGGAAAAAAAATCAAAATTTATATGGAACAAAAAAAAGCCTGAATAGCCAAAGCAATCCTAGGCAAAAAGAACAAAGCTGGAAGCATGACATTGGCCAGCTTCAAAGTATACAAGGCTACAGTAACAAAAACAGCATGGTACCGGTACAAAAACACAGACGAAATGGAACAGAATAGATAATGCAGAAATGAAGCAGCACACATAGAAAGAACTGATCTTTGACAAAGTTGACAAACATAAGCAATGGGGAACAGACTCCCTATTCAATAAATGGTACTGGGAAAACTGGCTAACCATATACAGAAGAATTAAACTGGACTCCTACATGTCACCATATACAAAAATTAACCGAAAATGGATTAAAGACCTAAATGTAAGACCTCAAAGTATAAAAATCCCAGAAGAAAACATAGGAAATACCCTTCTGGACTTCATCCTTGGTAAAAAATTTATGACCAAGTCCTTAAAAGCAATTGCAGCAGAAATAAAAGTTGACAAGTTGGACCTAATTAAACCAAAGAGCTTCTGTACAGCAAAAGAAACTATTAACAAAGTAAACAGACACCTTACATAATGGATAAAAATATTTACAACCTATGCATCTGTCAAAGGTCTACTATCCAGAGTCTATAAGGAAGTTAAACAAATCAAAAAGCAAAACACAAATAACCTCATCAAAAAGTGGGCAAAGTACATGAAGAGACACTTCTCAAAAGAAAACACAGAAGCAACCAATAAACATATGAAAAAAATGCTTAACATCATTAATCATTCCAGAAATGCAAATCAAAATCACAATGAGATAGCATCTCACACCAGTCAGAATGGCTATTATTAAAAAGTCAAAAAACAACAGATGCTGGCAAGGCTGGGAAGAAAAGGGAATATTTATACATTTCTGACGGATATGTAAATTAGTTCACCTGTGGAAAGCAGTTTGGAGATTTCTCAATGAAATAAAAACAGAACTACCATTCCACCCAGCAATCCGATTACTGGTATATACCCAAAGGAAAAGAAATTGTTCTACCAAAAAGTCACACGCACTCATATGTTCATCACAGAACTATTCACAATAGCAAAGACCTAGAACCAACTTAGGTGCCCATCAGTGGTAGACTGGATAAATAAAATGTGGTATGTAGACACTGATATGGTTTGGCTGTGTTCCCACCCAAATCTCATCTTGTAGTTCCCATAATTCCCCTGTGTCATGGGAGGGACCTGGTTGGAGGTAATTGAATCATGGGGACAGGTCTTTCTGTGCTGTTCTCATGATAGTGAATAAGTCTCATGAGATCTGATGGTTTTATAAAGGGCAGTTCCCCTGCACACGCTGTCTTGCCTGCCACCATCCCTTTGCTCTTCCTTTGTCTTCCGCCATGATGGTGAGGCCTCCCCAGCTATGTGGAACTGTGAGTTAATTAAAACTCTTTCCTTCATAAATTACCCACTCTCAGGTATGTCTTCCTTAGCAGCATGAGAACAAACTAATACAGACACCATGCAGCTATAAAAAAATGACATAGTGTCCTTTGCAGCAACATGGATGCAGCTGGAGACCATTACCCTAGGTGAATCAATGCAGAAACAGGAAATCAAATATCACATGTTCTTAGTTAACAGTGAGAGTTAAATCTTGCCTACACACAGATATAGACGAAAATAGACAATGGTGACTCCAAAAAGAGGGAGGGCAGGAGGAGGGCAAGGGCTGAAAAAGTTCCTATTGGGTACAATGTTCACTGTCTGGGTGATGGGATCACCAGAAGTCCAAGCCTCAATATCACATAATATACCTGTGTTACGAACCTGCACATGTACCCCATGAAACTAAGATAAAAATGGAAATTAAAACCAAAAAAAGAATTTGTCAGGGAGTGGTTAGAAATACTCTTTCTTGAAAGTACTCATTTCTTCTACATAATTTAACTCTGTATAGAATTCTATATAGATAATTACTTTCTTTCATGTTTAAAATAAATTATTCTGACCTGGTGTGTGGCTCACACCTATAATCCCAACATTTTGGGAAACCAAGGCAGGGGTATCACTTGAGGCCAGTAGTTCAAGACCAGCCTGGACAGCAAAGCAAAACCCCCATCTCTACAAAAAACTTTTTTTAAAAAAAATTATCAAGGTATGGTGGCATGTGACTGTAGCCCCAGCTTCTTGAGAGGCTGAAGCAAGAGGATTGCTTGAGCCCAGGAGTTCTAGACTGCAGTGAGCTATGATGGTATCACTGCACTCCAGCATGGGCAACATAGAAAGACCCTATCTCTAAAAATAATAACAAAAATAACAATAGAACAAATTATTCTACTTATTTTAGCCTCTGTTATTGTTTCTTTAAAATTAATCTAATGTTTTGTTCTGTTAACAGCCACCTTTTTTTCTGGTCATTTGAAAAAATTTCTCTTTGTCTTTGGTACTGCAGACTATCACTACCATATGTCGAGACATAGATATGCATTTTTAAATTATTTTAATTTTTAATAGCACTTTAAGTCCATATTATCACTAACCTAAATAAGATATAAAATTTTCTAATTTCATTAACTCATAGTATTTTTCAGCCTTATACTTTTTAAAAATAATTTTCTGAATCATTAGTAATAATTATTCCAAATTACCTGTAAATTCTTATCACTAAGAACTAGTATATAACTGAGTACTGTGGTATATTTAATAGATATACTTTTAATACTTAGTTTTAATTACCAATTATGCAAAAATGACCTTTTAAATTTTCTATTTGTATATTCGTTCTAGAAGTAATTTCACAAGAATGATAAAAATCATAACATCAGTATTGCTATAAAATAGCTTAAAATAATATGTTCTTTCAAAATCAGATGTGTGTTCTTTTGCTAAATTCTTCAAAAATCAATAAAGCAAACTTAGGAAAAAGAACTGGGTGACCATTATTGGATGAAATATAGCATCAGGAACTGTCAAAAGATCTAAACAATATTCCCTTCATCTTTAAACTTCAATCCAGAAAAAAAAGTCTAGTTATTATTCATTATTAGAGAGCCACTAATAATTTATCTGATACAGTGACAATTTCCTTGCTATTACTCAGAGCTATAATTTCAAAATAAATTATACTATTTTACCTTAATCTTTGGTTTACAGTCAGAATATCTCATTACTTCATTTCATTCATTGTTTCACTTATTAACAATTTGGATAACTCCATTATTTTTACATAATTTATCAAAAAAGGAAGGCTACTATTGCTATAAAACATTAAGATCAAAAAGAGAACTATATCTCAAAATTCTGTTTCACAAGGAATAGAAAAGGCTTTCATGAAGACAGTTGCATTGCCCTTCAGTTACGAGTGTTGATGAGGCTATAGGGCTACCGGGAACCTTGTATCTTTAGCCATACAGTCACTCTTCTTTGGTTCTCGGGTTATACAGAATCCCTAGGTTTTGGAAAACAACTCATCATTTTAAAAAGTATATCCTCAACTCAACTGACCCAACATACTGGATGCACCCACCAATCATATTTACTAGGAGACATGACCTGACTGAATTAGCTCCTCATACTTTCTTTAAAAATGGGAAATAGTTATGCTAAGCCATCTCAGATTTGTTAGAATCCTTAATGTCCAGCCAAAATACATGTGGCTAATGTTAGCATAAATGACAAGAATTAGTCTAGTAACTAGTGACCAAAGTTAACAGTTTAAATTTAACATAATAAGATTCGTAGCAATTTTATTCAGAAGATATTTGTCAAGTCAGTTTCCTCATAATGAATCTTTTCCATGATATTTACCACCTGTCTTATTAAATGTAAAATTCTAATTCACATCTAATTCTAATCCTTTATTTTACAGTCTGAGTTGCTGCAATATAATTTTTGTTTTTATATTAAAAGACACTAAGAGAAACATATTTGTATTATTTAGTAATTTTATGCCCTGGATTAAATTCATTCAACTTATTCATTCACCTAATTATTGCTAAATGCTTGCTAGGTCAATACAGAAATTAATGAGAGAGTCTCTACTCTCAAGGAAACACAGCAATAGACTATTAGAATTAAAAGAACATTAAAGAGCATGAAAGTATATATATACATGTATTTTATTAAAATTTATATACATTAAGTGCTATCAAAATACATTTTTCTGTATTAATAAATATTTACTCCTTAAAGAGTTTTAAATAAATGAATGCACCTTAATTTTCTTAACCCAATTCCCTACCAATTGGCACTTAATTTGCTTAGGATTTTCATTAACAATGCACAGATTAACATTTTTGAATAAATATGTGCACATACTCTTCATTATTCACACAGAATTGCTGCATAAAAGTGGAATTATTTGGTCTAAGCAAATGAACATTTTAAACACTTTTAATATATTTTGGCAAATTCTCTAATGAAGGGCTGTACCCTTGCCCAACTGGTTACACTCTCCTCTCTGTCTTGCTTTTAACACCTGGACAATAGATAATTGACACTTCATTGTGTGTATGATAGTACTTATTTGTTGTCCAGTGAAGAAGACTTTCCCTTTTTCTTATTATTGTAAATATCCATTTCTGTTCTTTCACCATTTCTCTACAGGAACATTTGTAGTTTTCACATGGATTGTAACAACTATTTTTACGTTCAAGACATCTTTTTGCTGCAATCTATAATGCAAAATTTTCTCCATTTTTCTGTGTGTATCCTCAATTTTGTTGTGGTGTTTTTTGTTGTACCAAAGGTTCTTTTCTTGTGTGATATCAAAACTATTAATTTTCTTTTTATAGATTCTGACTTAAAATATGTAGGCTTTACTCAACTGTATATAAATAAAAATATAGACCTATATATTTTGTTTACTTCCTCATTATTTTTACTTAAGTTTTGGTCCCACAGACATTTACTTTAGACAATGCTATGGGATAAAATTCTAGCTTATTTTTTCAAATATTGATTTAATAATTTAGCCAGAAAGATGTTTTGATTAACTCTCCTCTCTTACTGAAAATGCTCTCATTTGAAAGTTCCAAGAAATGTGGGTCATAGCTAAAGTCAACCAGCTAGACTGTGGCAAAGCCAGAATTTGACCTCGAGTTCAATGCTTTGAATGTGTAGTGGCAAACAGTATGGCTCTGGAATCAATGAGGACCACATTTGAATGGGGCACAACTGGAATTCTGCCACAGCTATGTTACCTTGAGTAAATTACTTCTTCTACACCTGTTCCAAATATTTAGAATAAGGGAACTTAATTATATCAAACTTCCTAATCTTTAGAATAAGGGGAAATAATTATATCAACCTTATCCTGTTCTTGTGTAAATGAGTCATTATTCAATTTATTCATTCAACAATATTAATTAAAAGTGTTCTTTGTAATAGATATTTTTTGAGGTGTCATGACTATAGCTACCTTAAAAATGGATATTTTCCAGAAATAAATTATTTTGACTTCATTATTAACTTAGTGTTGAATTCAAATAATGATCTATAGGATCTGGAGTCCTGCTCCCAGCATTCCATCTGCCCCGTACTCTCACCATTGGAATGGTGAAAAAGATACCTGGTGGAGATATATATATAGATAGATATATAGATATATAGATATTTGACTCGTCTAAGTGTCAAGAAATCTGGTGTCAGATATATCTAGTGGAGATAGATAGACAGATAGATAGATAGATAGATAGATAGATAGATAGATAGATAGATTTGACTCGTCTAAGTGTGAAGGAAAAGGCTGTAAGTACACACTGTATATTCACTCTCCAGCACAATACCTGACACAGAGCTGGCAGTGAATAGATTTTATAAATGAACGAGCAAATTAACAATGTATACGTTCTTGTCCATGCAATTTTATTAAAAATAGAACAAATTGTCTCTAAACATACTTGCCTTTCCTTAGTGAAACTAAAAGCATTTTTAAAATACGTAGACAGATGAAATAGAGATAGAGGAAAATACCCACACTCTCCTGCCTCTGTGTAAATGACAAAAAGAAGGTGCTGTCCTCTCAGATTCATCAGGCCATTCTGATTCGTCATCATTAACTTGCCCACATGGATTCTACCTCTGAATACTTCCAGTTACTTGATTAATACCCCAAAGTAGCACCTACTCAGCCATTCCAGATGACAAGGAAGGAGAGAAAACACTCCTAATGCACTTTGTAGGTAACATAATTTATCTTTTTTGTTCTCAATTTAAGTATTGACTTGGTGGTGCCAAGCAATGTGCTTGGAATCAGGGAGGCAGGTGATCAGAGCACAGACTGGGTCTAGACTTCTGGATTTGATCTTGGCTCCACTGCTTATGGTCACTTAACTTTCTAGTGCCTCAGTTTCCTCATCTATAAAAGCAGGTAATAATAACAGTGCCTATTTTATGCGACTGTTGTGAAAATTAAATGACTTAACATTTGTGAAGTACTTGGAACTGTACCTGACACCACAGCAAGGGCTCTGTAGATATTATCAAATAAATTAATACACTTTACCACTTCCTTAGCAGAGCACTCCCTGACCAAGTTACATCCCTTTACCTTATTTCGAGATGGAGTTTCGTTCTTGCTGCCCAGGCTGGAGTGCAATGGCACAATCTAGGCTCACCGCAACCTCCACCTCCCGAGTTCAAGTGATTCTCCTGCCTCGGCTTCCCAAGTAGCTGGGATTACAGGCACGCACCACCACACCTGGCTAATTTTGTATTTTTAGTAGAGACGGGGTTTCTCCATGTTGGTCAGGCTGGTCTTGTACTCCCGACCTCAGGTGATCTGCCTGCATCAGCCTCCCAAAGTGCTGAGATTACAGGTGTGAGCCACTGCTCTCGGCCTACCATATTTCATAGCACCAATCACCAGGTCTGTCTCTGTGTAATAATATTTCCTTCATTTTTTAATAACGCAATTTTCTTTCCCCATCAGACCATAAACCACTAAGAGCAAAACTATGAATTTATTCACACCTTTGTGTGTTGCTGTTATGCATATAAGAGTATTCAAAAATTACTTTGTTTTTCTTTAATGTATTAATACAATAAATCTCCAAACTAATTTTTTCTTTTATAGGTCTTTATAAGCCTTGGTATAATTTATAAGCTTGGTTAATTAAATTTCTTTATGAAAATAATCATTGCATCAAATATTCATGGAGCTAGAATTTTTGGCATGCTAATGTCTTTTTACAGATGACAAGGTTGTGATTTGATCCATAACTACGGCCATGACTGCCAGGCTCTTGAAAAGATCTTGAATTCTTTTCACATACTTATTACTCAAAGGCCATATTCCTTAGAACTGTTACATTTATTTATTAGTAACACCTTAATGTAAGATGGTAAAATAGCATCTGATTGAAGGCAGAAAAGCTCTCCTGCCATTGTCTGGCTTGCAGGCATAAGATTTAACATCTTTCTACTTACATATTTTCACCCATGATGGCATCCACTAAACCTAAATCAGTGTCTGGCTCATGAATGAACAAAATATAAGCTCAGAATGGCATAAGAAAACCTTATTCATGGATCCCATCCAAACACAAATTCACAATGCTTAAAAATGAAAAGTAAATCCTGTAATGCTCAAATTTATGTAGTTATCTTAGAAAAAAAAAATATTTTTAATTGCCTGGAGTCCTCATAGCTTCTTGTTAAGCTTAACAAGAGGTATAAAGCCATGACTAAAATATTCACACTCCACTCTAGTCCCTATTTAAAAAAAATAAAAAAGGGAATCACTAGTTTATTCATCTTGCCTAATGACACAGAAGGGCAAAACAAGCACCCAAACAATGAATAATAATGTAAGAGCTCAGACTGTAAAATCAATATGTCAGATCAGCAGAGCTTTGCTTCGTTTTAGTGCTCTCATGTCTGAATGCAGCACAGCTTATCTTCTGAATTATATATATATATATTGGCCTAATTACATAAATATTGACTTTTCCTTATATGAAGTTTATTCTTTCAATCTCTCTGTAATTACCATGTCAATATTTGTGGCTGTAGTAACAATGAATTTAAATCTGTTAATTGTGACTGATAGTGGCATGCTATGAGATAATTCAGTCACTTAGTCTCAGAACACTGATGGCACTAGATAATAAGTGATGAATCAGTAATTCCCTAGGTATATCGTACTAAGGTAAACATCTTTAAAAAGCAATTCTTTCAACCCAGTTAATTAAGGGGATAGTTTTTTCCTCAACTTGTCAGGTTTCATAACGTACGGAAGTAATAACCAGAATGCGACTGGATCTTGGTGTATGACTTTGCCCGCTTTTTTTTAAATGAAACACTTTATCCCTAACTTCATTCTCCAGTCCACCCATTAACAACTTCTTTGATCTGTTGATAGATATCTACACCTCCATCCTCACAGCTGTATGTGTGTATGGAAGATATAATTTAACATTTGTTGCTATTATTCTTTGCTATTTGCTATTTCCATAAAGGTCCTAATTCCTGATCTCACTTACATGTGGAATCTAAAATAGCTGAAGTCATAAAAGGGGAAAGTAAAAGGGTGGCTGCCAGGGGATGGATGTGGGGAAGGGAGGGGAGATGGTGGTTGGAGGGTACAAAGTTTAGTTAGACAGGAGGAAGAAATGTTTTAGACCATTGCGCAGCATGGTAACTATCATTCATAATGTACTGTATATTTCCAAATTGCCAAGAAGGTACATTTCAAATGTTCCCTCCACAAGAAAAATGCTAAGGATGTGAGGTGATGGATATGCTAGCCAGCTTGACTTTATCATTCCTCCTGGTATACTTGTCAAAATATCACATTGTACCCCATCAATATCTATAAAATTTGTCAAGTAAAAATGAAAATAAATTTGAAAAAGATCTTAGGCCTACTTTATTCTAATGTAAAATATGATCTGTAGAAATTCTACTTTTAAAAAATATTTTATTCAATTATATCCCCTCAACTGGTTTTATTTTCATGGGAAAAGTTTTCAGTTACTGAAGGTGATAAATCTCTGAAACAAGAACTAATCCCATACCTAGGATATATTAATTAATTAAATGTCTTCACTTACTTACCAGTGGCAGAGAAATGTTCCAAAAATTTTAAAAAGCTAAAAATCTTTTCACTTTGCTCTTATAATATTTGAGAATTTTCACACAAGAGCTTGAACTCTCCAATCTAAGTAGGACAGAAATACCTGTGTCATATTAATTATGTTAGAGTTAGGTGAACATAGAGAATGGTCCCCAAAAACAATGCTGTCCACACTTTGAGTTTAAGAGTTGTTCTAGACGTATTATGGTGAAGTGGTCATGCATCACCTGTGCTTTCTTATTTGCCTCTACAGGGATGCCAGATGATATGAACTTCAGTGATGTAAAGCAAATCCATCAAACAGACACTGGCAGTACTTTAGACACAACAGGAGCAGGATGTGCAGTGGCGACTGAATCTATGACATTCACTCTGATAAGTGTGGTGATGTTACTTCCCGGGATTTGGTAACTGAACTCTTCTGTCCTGACATACCTTACTGAAGTCTCGATTTCTTCTCTCTCTGCATATGCCTGGAATAAGAGATCCTTTTTCAATGTAACAATTATATTTATGAAAAGATATGTTACACTAACTTCTCAGAAGCCAAGCTGAAATATTCATAAAGTCCCTAAAACTCAACGTTTAAATGACACACTTTAAAAATATGTCTTTTTTCAATCTAACTGAAAACCTTCTTAACTTCTAATATATTAAATCTGAAGATGTGAAGGGCACAGAAGTGACTTTGAATAAGAAGAATTTAGTGTATCTGTAATTTTATTATCAATTCCAAGCCCCTTCCTTTCTAAATTAAAAATGTTTTCATTTGAAAGTGTATTTGCCAGACAATGAAAACAGTATGCAGTATTTCTTAAAGTATTGAAATTAGAATATCATGAAATAAATCAAAACATACAATGGCAAGTAGTATGCATGCATATTCAAGAGACTCTTCCATTTTTGCAAGCTGTAGAAGGAAATGTCTGAATGTCTATAAGTTATGGGGTAGATTCTTGAGAAGCATTTCATATAATTTCACTGAAGAACCTTGATAATTTTGACCCACTGTAACTTAGCCACTGATGAACCTTAAAGCTGAGTATTTTATTAACACCTGATTTGTATTCCATTATATTCAAAATGCATCTTTGGTATTGTGCCTCTGCTCCCATCTCTCTCTTTGCCTCATAGATTTAGCTATGTTGGGAAGCACATGCTTGCTCTAGGAATATCTCCAATAAAGCTGTTAACTATTTGGTGGAAAAATTTGAAGAATATTTGTCATTTTCTTCTGGCAAAAATGCTATTTTCACCCATTTTCAAAATATTATGTACTACTTTTTAAAGCCTGATGTTGTACAATTGGCTACCTTTGCATTTCTAAGGTTCCTATGAATATCTGCAGACATGTACAGAAAAGATGATATGCAACACTTTAGCTCTTTCCTATTTGCTCATTAATGGAGCTGCAAACCAACAGTCCCTAATTTCTCAGTTGGGATAAGTTGCCTCAATAGACACTAATAGGATATGTATATGGCTATACTTGAGGAAAAGAGAAGTTAGTTTTTATTAATAAGTATCACATCCAGTCTACAGAGAGAAAATATAATTAATACAAAGTCACAGAATAGAAAAGGGAATTGCTGACCTCAAATAAAAAAAAACAAAAAAAAATTTGAAATGACTTCTGACAAAGACGTAAACAAGACACAGCCAAATGCAAACATTAATAAGGTAAAATCCGTTTCTGCTAGTCAGGAAACAATATATGATCAAACCTTGTTCTCGCTTAAGTTCTCAATTAACAAAATGATCTAAGGATGGTTAGTTTAAATCACAACATTTTTAAGCTGCCCAATCAGGTTTTACCCTCCATTCAAACATGCCTCAGAACCGTAAGTGTTATTCTACCCATCAGTTGTGGATGCCATTTTCCTAGGCTTCCATTCCACACCTAACATTCCCTGATCCATTCAGTTAATAACTCATTTGCACTCACCTTGACACACTCCACAAATTACAAACTTAACCCTATTTTGAAAATTTTTTACTTCAACCTCAGCTCTTCATTTAAATCAGTCTTGGAAAAAAGTGATACTAAGGCACTCATTTGCTGCCCTCCAGCCCAAGTCATGATTGGCTTGCTACGGCAAAATTTCAGACCCAACTTAAGAGGAATTTAATTCTAAAGACAAACAAACTGAAGAGCATGCTTTAGCAGTCTAAGATATATGGATAAAATTAATTGACAGAAGATAATTTCAGATATGGCAAGAAATGGACAAAAGCAGAGTGGTAAAGTCAATACAAGAAATGATTATTTTTTTTTAAACTAAGTTTTACATGCTCAGATGGGTGTTATCTGCAGGTGGGCACTTTGGGGACTATATAAGCAATAATGGTGTTACTAGAGCTTAAAACACTGGGGTTTTCAGAATTTCTTTAAAAGCCTAAGGCAAAATTGTTAATATTCTCAGTAAGGATATACTTATCCATTAACACTTCCCATTCTGTGACATTTCATATCTACATAGTTTCTTATGAATTGCAAAGCTCTTTCAAATGAGAGAGAGTATCTCATTTGGACTTTCTTCGCCCCCTCAAAGATAGGCTTGATTTTCAGTCAAATAAAAACAATAATGCTGATTTTTTATATGGCTCAGAATTTGCTTCTGGAGAGTTTTTCATTAATAAGGTCTAAGAAAGTTTTGAGCAATGATACAAGTGTTGGATATGTGTCTACTTTCCAAGATTATTTAATAGATTACATCAGACTGAATGTATGTATTTAAAAATATCACACACATAGTCACATTTTATGCTGGTGTAATTTTTAAAAGAGCCATATTCTTGAATCCCGGAGTTATTTTTATGAGTTTAAGTAATCATAAAACTTCGTCTGATATTTTGCATATATTGGGGAGACTAGGTTTAGAAGCAGAACTAACATTTACTTGGCCTTTCTTTGTATACGCACCATGATAAATGCCTTGATGCACAATGTCATTTAATCTCCCCAAAAACACTGACATTTCCATTTTACCAATGAGAAAACTGAGCTTATAAATATTAGGGAATTTGACAGATGTCATACAACTAATCATAACAGAGTTAGATGGTGAGTATGATACCTTTAAATAAACTGTATACCTTTCTGGTTCAAAGATACAGTTTTGGAACAACAGCGAGGAACTACAGGTTAGCACAAAAATCATTCAGAGACTACTTAAGTCTCCAAACTAGGATTTAACAAATACAGTTGGCTATAGAATAATTGTCTAATTACCAAAATGCACATTAGTGTAGAAACATAATAAAAAGGAGAAGTGTAAACATGGACTTTTTTTAGTACCATTCATTACCCTCCCATATATTCAAACCCACTCTAAACACATCAGCCCTGAAAATAAATCAGCTGCCGAGAATGAGAAAGAAAACACAACTGTTTTAACTCTAATGGGATCATGAAGTTTATTTTAGTTTCCTTTGCAACAAAAAGGTATAAAACATTTCTTTGGCTATAGGATGGCATAAAAAAATGAAAGGAAGGAGAGGAGGAAGGAAGGAAGGAAAGGAGGGAGGAGGGAGGGAAGGAGGGAGGGAAGGAAGAAGGGAAGGAAGGGAAAGGGCATGGCAGAAAATTATTTTTTAAATCTTAGATTTGCCTTTATCCTCTATTTATTCTGTGAATAAATAATGTCTGCATGGTTACAGTACATGGTACAATAAAATAATGTCTGCATGGTTATCTTCTCACTAAAAAAGGACTGAGGTTAATAAGCTCTTTCCTCCCAACACTCAGATTTTCTGAAGTGCTCAATAATGATGCTTTGAAAAGGACTAAATTCATTTATTACTAACTGTTTGCTATCATATAAAATATTGTTTCTAACATCAGAATCCTTCAAGGACAATAAAAATGATTTTTTTCTTGAATGAATATATTCAACCTAGACGTCTCTTATTCTGAATGAGAACTTTGTTGAGCAGGCTACATCACTATTGTATTTAGTTTGCAACCTTTAATGTCATTCATATACAATTACATGGGTTATGAAAATTCAGAAATAATAATTTCTAATGTTGTTAGGTATGAATGTGAACATATCAAGTTTTTCTTTAAATGCAGATTGTTGTATACAAGTCATTTTTGATTAAAATACAGATAAAACATATTTCTCAAGTCAAAAGTCTGCTTTCCTTGCCTTTAGTAAAATTACAGAGTGACTGAATTACTGTTATAATTACTTTATGACTAGAGATCTAATCAAATATAATTCTTAAGCTATCCTTTCTGCCTCCTTGCACAGAGAAAACTGAGTAATTTCATCACAATATAATTTATATTTCCATAGCAGAAAACAATAACTTATTTGGAAGAGAGTAGAGTAGGAGTGGATGTCCATGGTTACTTTTTGGAAACATCTGATTTAAGAGACTTTTGCCTTCCTGCACTTGCCAATTCTCACACTGGAATCAACTTCATGAAAATGTGTGTGAGAAGATCACGCATCTTATTTTCCCCTTAAAATTTTACTTTGACTACATTGAAGACCAGAGTGAAAGACAATATATCAGAATTTGAAAGACCATAGAATTAAGAACAGAACGGTGAACATTTAAGGATCAAAACTGGTTGGAGACAGAAGGAATGGGACTGACTGCAGTAATAAGTAAATTCTTACTTTTATGAGTTTGATACCCACCTTTAAACATGTTGGATTGGAAGGAATGAAGACTCTTAGAAAAAAAGGGAGGTCTCTGATTTTCCTGAGATTACTCAGCCAAGACCACTAGCATAACAAGAAGAAAGAAAAACGAAGAACAAGAACAAGAAGGCCCAGCTGTAAGACAAATGCTGTGAACGGTATAGTATGTTCCAGAAAGAGTGACTCCATAATTGTGATCAAAGAGTTCCAGGACCCAATTTGCAAAGTCAATGTGATTTGCTCACCCAGGGCACATTCTCACTTCTCTCCTTGACCCCCCCACCCTGCCGCTCCATCCATATACATACTCATTCCCCACATACATTTTCTGGCTACTGTCTCTATTTCCTTTCTCTTTTCTTATCTGTAAAAATTGAGATAACTGTATCTACCTCACAGTGTTACTTAGAGAACTAGATAATCCAACACCTATTAGGACCCTGCTGGCCCATGATGAGCCATAATGATTCGTGTTTGTTCCCTTCCCACAGAGCTTTCTGTTAAAGTGCACATGTTTCCAGGATGGGACAACACTAGAATATTTAGTTATGGATTCTGCCTGTCAATAAGTTTTTGATAGGGGAAGAGATCTGTGTTAGTCTGTTTTCATACTACTATAAAGAACTACCTGAGACTGGATAATTTATGAAGAAAAGAGGTTTAATTGACTCACAGTTCTGTAGGTTGTACAGTAGGCATAGCTGGGAAGGCCTCAGGAAACTTACAATCATGGTAGAAGGCAAAAGGGAAGCAGGCACAATCTTCACATGGCAGCAGGAGAGAGAGAGTGAATGGGGAAGTGCAACCCACTTTCAAACAACCTGATCTTGTGAAAACTCACTGTCAAGAGAACAGCAAGGGGAAACTCCAGCCCCATGAACAAATAACCTCCCACCAGGTCCCTTCCTAACACTGGGAATTAAAATTCAACACGATATTTCGGTGAGGACCTGGAGCCAAACCATATCCAGAGCGTAGAGAAGATGGTTGGAGAGTGAATGAGTAGGGTTCAGGAAAGGGAAAGAGAAGAGAAGCAATGGACTCTGGAATGCACAAGAAACCCATACTGCCTGCTTCATGTTTCATGTTTTGCCTGGACTCATCCTGGCTATGAGGCTTATTCACTGAAAGTTTATTTTTTTAAGTATTGGGAGTAAGTGGTCTTTCTTTCATTGAATATAAAAGGATATTAGCTCTGACCCAGTATTCAAATGTGAATTGGTGTCTACAATGACAAATTTAGAGACCTCCAAACCTTGCTTGAAGGTCTCCTTGACTGGTGTATTTAGACCTCCATCTCTGTGGGATTATTATACTGTGGGTTACCAGTACAACCCAAGCGCGGTGGGAAGAACAAATATGAGTAAACAAGAAGTGTGTTGCTCAGTATCTCACCTAAGTTACCCCCAAGTGGTTATTTCTGAGAGGCAAAATCACTTCATTAAGGTCACATTGCCAGTGATAGACAAAGCAAGCATTCTAAAATCAGCCTTCAAAATCCTTTTTTCCACTGCACCACTCAGTATCCCAGGGTTCAGAAAACTTTTGATAGGTCAATTAGGTTAGGTTAGGCTACTTGAAGGCTGTATAGGCTATTTTTAAATGTTCCCTTGTTTTATTCACTTTCTAAAATGTCTTCTCTCTAAGATATTTTATTTTTCATTTGTCTTTCATCTCAAATTTAGCTCTAGTAGTAAGGTTGAGGATCCTGAGGAGATTCCATATGCCAGGTGCCCTAGTGTGGCCATATGATGGGGTAGTTGGCTCGTTCATTGACTCACAAGCATCCAAAAATGCTGGAGAAAACAGCAAATGGAGCTTCAAAGGCTTTAGCAGTAATTTTCTGTATGACCTTCGGCAAGTCCTGTAACTCTTTGAACTTCAGTTCTTTATTTGTAAAATAATGTGGTTGAGCCAGATAATCCCTAAATTTTCTTATGTATTTTTAGAATTCTAGATTTCTAGGCCAAAACAGAAAACATTATTGATGCAATAAGAAAGAACATTTGTTTATTTGATGTCACATAATTTACCATTTCCTAATATATAGAAGGCACTTGAAAAAGTATTGCCTAAAATACAATTTTAGTTACAACTTCTGCATAGGTTTAAAACTCCAATTTCTTTATTACACATAGGAATGGGGCTTTTCTGTATAAGATTTATTGGAATAATCTTTCGATGACTAAAGGGAAGAACCATCACAGCAAACATTCTTCACTTTTGTTTAATGTATAACACAATATGAGCCAAAAACATATATCATACGATTAAATATTTAGTCACTAACTATTGTTTGTTCTAGCTTGTCTTATAGGAGTTAAGATCCAGGGTCCTCACTAATTCAGTTGTGGCGTCTCATAATATTCAAAAACAAATAATGCATAGACTGACTCCTATAAAAGACAAAGATAAAAGGATGTGGAAGTAAGAAATGAAGTTACAAAACAGTTGACAGTACTTTCTCTTCTCACAGATTTTTCCCAGGAGACCCTTTTACATAGGTGTAAACAAATGTTGTTGTCTCTGATGATTTATTGCAGAACAAGCTGACAGAGCATAGGAGCATGTTATCTGGGCCTCTGTATTGCAGGAGCTCGCTCAGAAAAATGAAGAAAGACGAGAAAATGCTCTGTCATTCAGCAAGAAAGCAGATGGAAGCTTAGAATCACAGCTTATTTAAAAGGACAGCTTATAAATATGATGTGTTTATAATTTTACTATTTCATTTTCCTCATTTATAAAAAAATTAAAGAAAATCTCATGAGAATTTCATCACAGATGGTTAACTGCAATAAATTTATATTGAATAATTTGATTTACTTCTATTTTGACTACACATCTATTATAGTATGGGTGTGATTGAATGCAAATCCACAGACACATGTACACATTTATCTATATCTATCCATAAAATATACATATTCATGTTTATTGTTGCTATGATTGTATTGATGCTTATATTTATATTTGTATAAAATTTGCCTTTATGTCAGTTATTCCAGGCTTTTTATTTGAAATTTGAGAAGGTTGATGAAATAGGTAACTTTTATCAAACTGCAAGTTACTATTTTTCCATATGGGCTTTCATTGTAATTTCAAACAGATAAACATTAAGCAAGCTCTTACTATACACAAGACAATGTACATGACCACTGAAGCAATAAAAAGACATTCATAAAGGATATATTTCAGAAATCCTCACTTATACAGGGTTAGGTACAAATTCTGCTTTTCTTAAAAGACTATTTCTTCTGGAACAAAGCAATACAACACAAACAGTTCACTTATTAATCTTATGAAAAATATACAAGTGTAACATTTCACCACCCACTTGCTTTTAGGCTGTTAATTAATTGGAGTTAAGCTGACCAAGGAATAAATGACAATTCAAGGGAATTAAATAGTCTCATCCTTTTCCTCAAGTCACCAATTTTTGTGCTTTTTCTCCTTCAGTGATAGTCAGCTTTCAGTGCCCCCAAAGTCTATATCGTCTCTACCTCAGCACCTGCATAGGAGACTATGAGTAAAACAATAACTCGGGCTTGGAAATAAGACTAGTCCTGGTTTTGAATGCCAGATATCTCATGAACTAGTTGTGTTACCATAGGCAACAATTTGACTTCTCTGAAATATTCATGAAATGAAGATGATTGTATACCCCCTGACAGGTTTGTTGGAAAGATTTAATTACTCATTGTGTCTATGTATGATGATTAGCACAGTGTGATATTAAATAAATATTAGCTGACATCTTATCAAAACTTGCTCTTAGGTAAAATCTTTCACACTAAGTTATAAATGATTAATATCATGAAGAGTCATTTTATTTTAAAACTATATGAAATTTAAGGAGTATGTATTTGTAGTGTTTTGCAGAAAAGAAAAACTAAAATCCAGAAAGGATATGTGAATTACCCAAAGTAACACAACTAGTTTGAACTAGAAAAGACCAACAACTTATTTTTTAAGAAAATCTCTATGTGCACTGCATTGAATCCAAATTGTTACTTCAAATCAACTAAAAGCTGCATGTTTGTATATCCTAATATTCAATAGAAATTGCCCCATAACCACAGGGACTAAACCAATAGAAATAGGCAAATGTACCAATTTGAGAGACTATTAATAGACACTTGTAGATTCAATGAACTTAAACAAATTTATAAGAAAAAATCCAAACAACCCCATTAAAAAGTGGGCAAAGGACATGAACAGACACTTCTCAAAAGGAGACATTTATGTGGCCAACAAACATCATATATAAAAAAAAGCTCAACATCACTGGTCATTAGAGAAATGTAAATCAAACCACAATGAGATACCATCTCACATGAGTCAGAATAGTGATTATTGAAAAGTTAGGAAATGACAGATCCTGGAGATGATGTGGAGAAATAGGAACACTTTTACACAGTTGGTGGAAATATAAATTAGTTGAACCATTGTGAAAGACAGTGTGGAGATTCCTCAAAGATCTAGAACCAGAAATACAATTTGACCCAGCAATCCCATTACTGGGTATATACCCAAAGGATTATAAATCATTCTATTATAAAGACACATGCATGCATATGTTTATTACAGTGCTATTCACAATAGCAAAGACATGGAATCAGCCCAAATGTGCATCAGTGATAGACTGGATAAAGAAAATGTGGTACATATACACCATGGAATACTATGCAGCCATAAAAAGGAACGAGATCATGTCCTTTGCAGGGACATGGATGGAGCTAGAAGCCATTATCCTCAGCAAACTAACACAGGAACAGAAAAATCAAACACCACATGTTCTCACTTATAAGTGGGAGCTGAACAATGAGAACACATGGACGCAGGCTGGGGAGTAGCACACACTGGAGCCTGTCACGAGGACGGTGGGGGGAGATCATCAGAATAAAAAGCTAATGCATGTGGGGCTTAATACCAAGGTGATGGGTTGATGGGTGCAGCAAACCAAGGCACACGTTTACCTATGTAACAAACCTGCACGTCCTGCACATGTATCCCAGAACTTAAAATTA
Source organism: Homo sapiens (assembly GCF_000001405.40). NCBI lineage: Eukaryota > Metazoa > Chordata > Mammalia > Primates > Hominidae > Homo > Homo sapiens. Next base: position 92,875,711 of record NC_000013.11, read on the forward strand.
AATTAAATTTAAAAACAAAGAATAGACTCTTGACTTTAAAGGGAAAATGAGGCTATTGAGAGAGGTTGTAAAGTATTACTATACCTTCATATTGATTCGAAAAGTAGAAATAATCTAATAGAGTTTCTAATATAATGCTTTTAATATAAACGTTAATCTCTTTTCATATTCACAGTCTGATTCTTAATAGATTGACCAATTTGCTAAAGTATTCAGGACATCTTGACAAACAACATATTCTAGTATATACATTATAATTTTTAAAATGCCAGCAATTTTCTTTGAAAATATAGGAAATAAAATCAAAATAGATTTTATGTCACATTTCAAGATTAAAAAACATTTCTTCTTTGCTACTAATATTGTTTTCTAAGCTAGTATTTTGGCTTGCAAGCTTTAGATTTACCCATTTCTGTACCAGATTATAATTAGGTTGTATCTTGAAACATGAAGATCAATAGAATATTTTCATATTTAACTGAAGATTCTTTGTCAGTATTTAAAATGGTTTATTGTGCTACAGCATATTCTAGCAATTTCAAAATATTGAGAAAATATGAACAGTTGAAATCTTTCTAAACAACTTTGCTTTAGAGGAGAGTTCCTTCACTCTGTTGAAAAACATAAGGACATGTCAGCTATAGTTGAAATATGTAGCCTTTAATTTCTAGAGTTTTATTCATCTTTTAAAATCCAGAGAGATGTTAGCTATTTGTCTCCATTGGGCCTAAAAAGAAAATGTTTTTATATTTCTCTTACCAGAGAAATAGAAAACATCGAGTGAATTATCTCCATATTATAGGAAACCTTTTGTTAACATCGAGTGAATTGTCTCCATATTACAGAAAACCTTAGTAACTAAAGGATGAATTCCACTGTAAGATAATAGAGACAATAATTTAGTGGATAGTATATTCATAAGTATTAACACTGATAGAACAATGACTAATTTACATCCCTATTGTCCTTTGTGATTTATCTAAAATATAATGTCGTTTATAAAACCTTATTTTAAAAACTTTTTTCTAATAAAAAATATTTTTACTAAAATTATTGGAAATAGTAAAGCAGACTCAAGATCCCCAAAAACTCTTCCAGCTCTGTTAGTATTCTGTAACCATTTTTTTTTTTTTTTTGAGACTGAGTTTTGCACTCTTGTTGCCCAGGCTGGAGTGCCGCAGCTCACCACAACCTCCACCTCCCGAGTTCAAGCGATTCTCCTGCCTCAGCCTCCCGAGTAGCTGTGATTACAGGCATGCGCTACGACACCTGGCTAATTTTGTATTTTTACTAGAGATGGGGTTTCTCAATGTTGGTCAGGCTGGTCTCAAACTGCCAGCCTCAGGTGATCCACCCGCCTCAGCCTCCCAAAGTGCTGGGAGTACAGTCATGAGCCACCACACCCAGCCAATATTCTGTAACTTTTAAAAAATATCATACCTATTTATAGAAATAGAGCTACATAAAATTTACACATACACATCTAGATATAGACATCTCTATAGAAGACATATGAAGAGATGAGAGGAATAGAATAACTATATATTTACGTAAGTATTTAAAAATATGATGATGCTATGTCTATTTAAACCATGTGTACTGCTTAACAATATATCATCAATGTTGTCTGGGTCATGAAATATGCTGAAAATAACTATAAATGATTCATAGTATTCTTCATATGAATATCACATTTAATCAATTCTCTATTGAGACATTAAATTATTAATATATCATAAACAAAGTTCCAATAAAAATCTTAATAAAATTTTACACTCCTTCATGATTTCTTCTTGGCTTAGTTATCATTCCTTCGGTGGGAAAAAGAAAGGAGGTAATTTATTCTTCCTTACTCAAAAACAAACCATCAACTTAAACACAAAATTAGATTACAATCATTGGTGTATTTGTCTTATTTTCCCTAGTAGACCAAAGTTTATTAAAGGCTTTTTAATCCCTCTGGGTAACACTGTTCTTTAAGTTAGTACAAGTCCAAATATACGTATTGAATCAAATCTGGTCATAAGAAGACTCAAGAAAAAAAGGATGCTATTTTACTGTATTTGTTCTAATTAACCTTAAAAATACCCTAAAAAGAGTTATAATATTAATAATTCCCACCTATGCCAAATGAAATGGGAGTAAAATAATAATTCCCACCTACGCCAAATGAAATGGGGGTAAAAAAATGAGATATATTAATATGAAAATATTTGTAAATGAAAAACTTAATACAGATTATAAATATTATTGTTATAGCTAAATAGACTAACTTATACATCTTTTTGGGTTTTTTTTGAGATGGAGTCTCGCTCTGTCGCCTCCCAGGTTCAAGCGATTCTCCTGCCTCAGCCTCCCGAGTAGCTGGGACTACAGGCATGTGCCACCACGCCCGGCTAATTTTTTGTATTTTTAGTAGAAACAGGGTTTCACTGTGTTAGCCAGGGGTTTCACCGTATTAACCAGGATGATCTCGATCTCCTGACTTCATGATCCGCCCGCCTCAGCCTCCCAAAGTGCTGGGATAACAGGCGTGAGCCACCTCACATGGCTACATCTTTTGCTATTCCATATCTGAGCTCTTAATGTAGTGAAATCCATCCTGAAAGCCACAAAATTTTGAAGATGTCCGTAATGAAAACTAGTCTATTAAATCTTGTGTGCCTGCTAAGCTCACAATCCCTTCTGAGGAAAACTGATATATTATTGATTCTCTTCTCTTCACAGCTGATTGCATAGGGTGATATAAGGCAGCGCTGTCCAATAGAAATATAACGTGAGCAACATATATAATGTAGAATTCCCAGTAACCACTTAAAAAAAAAGAAAGTAAAAAGTCAGAGCTCAAAATAATTTAGTAACAGATTTTATTTAACCCAACATATACAAAATATTACCATTCCAACACATAAGCAATATAAAAACCATCAATGAGATTTTATATTCTAATTTCAGTAATTTTTTGAAATCTAGTATGTGTTTACTGTACATCTCAATTCAGACACATCATATTGCATATTGCAATATGGTAGTGGCTACCATATTGGACTGCACAGATCTACAGGTTGAGACACCAAGACTCCTTGGGGAAAATTATTATTTTTTATTATTATTATTATACTTTAAGTTCTAGGGTACATGTGCACAACGTCCAGATTTGTTACATATGTATACATGTGCCATGTTGGTGTGCTGCACCCATTAACTCCTCATTTACGTTAGGTATATCTCCTAATGCTATCCCTCCCCCCACCCCATGACAGGCCCCAGTGTGTGATGTTCCCCACCCTGTGTCCAAGTGTTCTCATTGTTCTGGATGAAGCTGGAAACCATCATTCTGAGCAAACTATCGCAAGGACAGAAAACCAAACACCACATGTTCTCACTCATAGGTGGGAACTGAACAATTATCATTATTAAGAAAAAAAACTTGAGTAGTCTTCCTTAGTCATAAATCTGAAGCAAGAAAGTACGTAGTAACCTGGAGAAATCTCCTTTTCTTCATGTATTAGCAAAACGTGTCCTTCTAAATACCCCCTAGGTACTGAAAACTCTAAGGAAGGGTAGGAAAATCACAACTTCCAGAATGGCAGTGTGAAGGGCTTGCAGAAAACTTTCCCAGGAAGTCATCTATTAACCTGGTCAAAATTAGCAATGGTACTCATTCAATGTCTGGAGATTACTCAAAGGGCTTACAGCGAATTGAGAAGCATTTACTCCACAAAATCTAAGGAAACTCAGTAAAAGCAGCGTCAGGCAGTGGCATTCCAGTTAGGTACTGCACCTGTCCCCGACAGCTAAGCCATGTGGAAAAACTGCTCCAGCAGCTCCACAGCTGGGTGGCAGCTCTCTTTTCCCTGAACTCAATGAGCTGGAAAAGTAATTCCAGGTAGATTTGGTAGCTGGTGGACATCAGCAGATTCCATCGTTCCAGACTCTGCAGATCTATAGTGGGCTGTCTAGGTAACCCAGCAAAAGTACCAGTTCAAGACAAATACTAGTACAGCAAGAACTCAACAAATAAAAGGCAACAAAACGAACAATAAGGACAATCTCTAAGAGGAATCTGTATTCAGAGTTGCTGTAATAGAAGGGAACTTCCTTAATCTGACAAAATGTATCTATAAAAAACCCATCTCCAAAATCATACCTACTAATAAAAGACTGAAAGCTTTCCCTCTAAGAGCAGGAACAAGAAAGGATGTTGGCTCTTTCAGCCTCTATTCAACATTATAGTGGAGGTTCTAGCCAAGACAGCTGGGCATTAGGCAGGAAAAAGAAAAAGGAATCCAGATTAACAAAGAAGAAGTAAAGCTATCTCTAATTACATATGACATAAACTTGTAGAGATACAGAATTATGAATCCACTAAAAATAGTAAACTAATAAATGAGCTCAGGATATAAGATCCTCACAGAAGATCAGGATTGAAAGGTTGCAAAATTCAAGATCAATGAGATTTCTCTACACTAGCAATGAACAATAACAATCCAAAAGGGAGATTAAGAAAACGATCCCATTTACAATAGAATCAAAAAGATTAAACCTTAGAAATAAATTTCATGAAAGGAGGATAGGACTTATTCACACAAAAAATACACAAAATGATACAAGTGTTGGGAAAAATAACTAAAGAGGACCTAAATGAATGGAAAGACATCCCATGTGCATTCATCAGAAGGTTTAATAATACTTAAATGGCAATAATCCCCACATTCCTCTACGGTTTCAGTGCAGTCTCTATTGAAACCCAGCTGCCTTTTTTTTTCTTGCAGAAAATGATGTTGATCCTAAAATGTATATGCAAATGCAAGAGACGAGGAATCCACAAACAATCTTTAAAAATAACGAGGTGGGAAGACTCACTCTTCCCGATTCCAAAACTTAGTACACAGCTACAGTAATCAAGACAAGTGTGGTGCTGGCTGGCACAGTAAAGATGTATAGATCAATGCAATAGAATTTCAACTGAATTCTATCTCACATCATTCACAAAAATTAACTCAGAATGGTCACAGATCTAACGTAAGAGCTAAAATTGTAAAACTTTTAGAAAAAAACATGTAGAGATAAATCTCTGTGGTCTTGGAATAACAATGTGTTTTTACATATGACACTTAAAGCATAAGTGAAAATAAAAAAGAAAAAAATGATAAAATGGACTTCATCAAAATTTTTATGCTTCAAAACACCTTGAAGAAAGAGAAGACCATGTGTCTTGTTCATAGAAACACTCCATTACTGCAGAGATATTTCCTTGCCATAAATAATACTTCTCAATATACAGTGAAGTTTAAAAGAGATAAAATCTTAGGAGAAATCATTGAACTCCTTCATTGAGAATGATCTAAGAAAGGGTGCTGATTTTCCATACTGGAACCCACCATCTCCCAGCCACTGATAGTCCTTCTGAACTTGCCTCCTGTTATCTGGGGCACCAGTTCTCTGGGATGGTGCTATAGCAGTCCTTCCCAGCACAATCTCTGGGGGTAGTTGCAACATCCAAGGATTTTAGCTGCATGTCAAAAGCCATTAGAATTGCTTCTCCCCTTCCAGCTTCCCCATCCCAGAAATTAGTAAACACTTTTGTTTACCAAATATTTAAATGATAAGAATAGCTTGAAAGGAATAGACTTTACAACCTGCAAATGCATGTATCAAAGTGCATTTCACTTTAGAATGCTACTTGTGGATGTTATCTGCATCCTAGCCTATGAAGTCGGCCATGCCTATGCTATTCACGCCTTGGCATCTGTGTTAGGGCATAGTTTCCAGTAGTCAGTTCCAAAATCCTTTGACACTTTACGTCTGTTTTTTCTCATCTCCTCCATTCCCTGTCCTCATGCACATTAATCCAATACAAGATCTTTGACCCCATCACGCTTTGTCAGCATGGGACCTCTGGACATATTTCCTTGACACAGGACATTCTCAGACAGAAGTCTATACAGATTGATTAACATTTCACCATCACTTTCCATGCAGTCATGCTTTTATCTAAGGAAGTCTGTTATTCCAATTAATAAGACCCCAAAGCAGGACATGAATAATAAAATCAGCAAAGCATATTTCAGCAGAAGCCTATGAGTTGATCTGGCACAAGAATTCTGGCCACCCTACCCTTTACCCTCAGGTCTACTATCACCGTTTTTAAATAAGATAAGCTGAACAAGTTGCTATCCCTTGCACTGTGAAAGAGCCCCATTAATACACATTTGTTCATGATATAAAAAGTGCATTTATTCAACAGACACGTATTTGCTCTGCACAATAGGGCATGCCTATGCTATATATTCAGAAAATGCAGATGTGTTCCCAATCTCAAAGAGAATATAGCGTTTAGATTCCCAGATTTGAATCCAGTCTTGCTACTGTATCAGAATCACTGAGGGTGGGGCCTAGGAAAAAAAAGTTTCCACGACGAACACATAATTAGGTCTACAATAGGGTTTTTCAAATTTGCTCATCTGTGGTTCCTTTTAATAAATATACAAACTTCACACTCTTTGAGTATGGACTAATTTTCCATTCAAAATTACCCTCTTTGAGAATTTCCTGGATGGGATATGAGTGCAGGGTTTTAGAAATTAAGTATTGTCACCAGCTAGGGATAATTTGCCAAGCTGTGTTTTTTTTAAACAAGTGTTTCCCAGACAAATAATAATGGGTGCTTCTTCTTCACTTTTTGCTAACCAATCCCTCCTGCTATGTTGAAAATTACTCACTTATATCTAAAAGTGATGAGATGCTAGGTCTTTACAGTCTTTTCTCTACATCTCTTTTTATTCTTTCTCTCGTATAACTATTCTATACAATTTAAAACTCATTGGAACTCAGCATTTTATAAAACCTTTTTTTATTAGTTCTAATGCCTTGTGAATAATTAACTGACAATTTATAAGCAAGATGTGCTTGTAACATTTATGAGGACAAAAAAAATAGATAACAGTAAGTAAGAACCCAGGTTAAGCTGGTAGTTGTACAAGCGAATCAGGTATAAAGAGCAGATGAACTCCACTGGGCCCAAATGGACTACCTCACATAGTATATGCTGCTCAGATGGTGAATAGGTCAATCTGATTTCCCTATGACAAATCTCTACACACACCAGTAAAGACCAATGTTTTTTCTTATATAGATAAGATTCCACATTGCTCACTTGGTTCACATCTTTTAGTTAATTCTAAGACCAATATTATTCCTAGTAGAAAGTTCAGCTTTTAGATACATGTTAACTTGAACTTCAAATGCTTTAGGGCCAGCATGTCATTTGCATGAAAATGCAACATGTCAAAATTTCTATTTTGCATGAAAATATCACTCAGTTTTACTTTTTAGAAAACAACATATTGTCCCTGATTTTCTACTGTCGGTGGATTTGTTGTTACTCTCCTTTGGTCATATATTTGGGAACAAAGATTTAAAAAGATAAAACAGCATTTTGCTACCCAGCATCCATTAAGCCATTTTAAGCAACCATTATCTCAAAACACTTTGGGGTACAGCTGTCATTTAGGTCTTGATTGTTTAAAAAACAAAAAACAAAAAAAAGAAAGAAAGAGAAATAGAGTAGGAGAGGAAGGCGTGGAGGGATATAGGAGAACATGAACATATTACAAGACTTTACAGAAGAATATGAAAAGAGAGCAGGGGTTCATGTAAACTCAAGTTATGGAGAGCTGCTGCTGCTGCTCCCATTCGTTTTCCTCTCCTTCCCCCACACCACAGGGGCTTCTAGAATATGGATATTCCCTTCTAAGAATCATTCTAGATAATAATAATAGACGAAGAGATTTTTATCTGAGATTTAATTAATTCCAGAGAAAATATAAACCACTCCTTTGTGGTATATTTTATGTCTCCCAAACTTAAGCACCAATCAAGATATTATTTTGTAAGTATACCATAGCGGTAAAATAGAAAAAACTCTACAGGAAGCCTCCCAAACTTGGAAGAAATAGATTACCCATTGAGTGGTGAGATTCACACTTACTGTGTCTGGGAGTCACTTATTAAGGAGTCAAAATCTCCCTGGCCAAAAATCTGATTGAATAGAGCATGGAAAGAAGAGCTGAGAAATATAAGAGAAAGTAATGGGTATTCCTGTATCTCACTAATGTATGAACAGAGAGATGAGTTTACCATGAAATCAATTAAAGAAGTCAGCGGGTAAAAACTAAGCTGTGTTAACCTGACTCTATGCCTGGGGAGAGGCAGAGTATCTGGGGGCCTTATCATCAGCACTAGAAAGATTTTCACTTTGTGGGGTGGGAGGAGATGGGGCAGGGATGCTCATCAAAAATCTCCAGGGCTTTAGATATTCCTCAAGACTATCACTTTTATTTTGCTCTGCTTGACTGATTACCAGGAACATTCCAGTTACTAAGGCAGATTTCCATGCATCATGATATTTATCAATGCAAAACAACAAACAAAAGTATTACAAGCACTAAAAATGAGCCACAAATTGCACAGTATAAATTCAACTGGAATTCCAGTTTATATGCAAGTTTCTTGTAAATTTGGAAAGCATGTGCCACTCTTTCTCTATTAAATAAACTCCAGATACCCTGACAAAAATCTAGTTTCTGGTCTTTGCCCTGACCTCTGTTTATCCTATGAAAACCCTGCCATCCTGTGAGGTGCTGTTAAATGGAAACTGGCATGTTTCTCTCATTGATCTCAAAATAAAACCTGTTCTGCTTCTTCATCTTGTTATTCTCTAATATCAGAAGTGCAAACAAAACTTATGTATTTGAAAGAATGATATCAATGGTGCAAATGAGGTAAACTTCTATCTTCCTTACAAGGTTTCTGAAAATGTGTGTTTTTCTATCCATGACCTGTTGCAAGGTATACGGTGAGTTGACATCCCTGCCCTCAGGCAACTTACTATCCAGCTAGATATTTTAAAATGTGTGGCAGAGACTGTTAACACCACTTCCCCTAATATTCAATCTTTTTTAATATAATAGAACGCACTCATCTTTTAGTACAGATGCCCAGAATGTCCCCGCCTCACTCACAGCTAGATAAGGCCCCCATGACTGAAATGTAAGCAGTGCTGTGAAGTGGCAACTCCCAGACACTGTCCTATAAAGAGAGTTGCAGCTTGGGCTTTCTCCACTTTCCTACCTTCTCTAAACTACTGCAATGGAACATGGACACAGTGGCTGCACAGGGAGGACTGGAATACACTATAGAAATGAAGGAGCAGAAAACCATCATCAGTGTGTTGGATCCTACATGATCTACACTGCATGTGCCACACCAGCCTGGATTGCCTCAACTCGACTTTTGCAAGAGACTTTTCATGAAGTGCTATCTTGTTTAAGACATTATTCTTCAGCTCTGACTCTGATCACAAAACAGGTACAAAATAATGACTAAACAATATCCAAAATAATTATGCTAATGAAAGGCATTTTTCAATAAATATGAACGGAGGGTGTCTTAGGTGCCTGGCTCTGCGTGAGTAAGAACTGTATGCCCAGCTGTCACTGATTTTACTAACATAAGGCTTGGTATGATTAAGTACCTAACAAGCTGTGTAGGCAATAAGTGCTGAAAAGTCACAGAAAGCAGACAACTGTGTGGATTTGAGTCTTTAGATAATCATAAAAAGATACCCCATGAGCTGGACCTTACCAGAAGAACGGTAATTAAAGAGGAAGGATGAAAAATAATCTCATCAAGACAAATAAGGACAAAAAGATATCAAAAGTAGGGCCCAGTGAGGATACCCTTTGGTTGGAATAAAGTTACTTTTAAGGGACTGAGATATGGCTAGAAAAAAGTTTAGGGCAGGTTCCCCAATCCCCGAGCCATAGATCAGTATTCATCTGTGGCCTGTTAGGAACCGGGCCATACAGCAGGAGGTGAGCAGTGGGTGAGCCAGCAATACTGCCTGAGCTCCATCTCCTGTCAGATCAGCAGGCATTAGATTCTCATAGGCACATAAACCCTATTGTAAAATGCGGATGCAAAGGATCTAGGTTGTGCGCTCCTTATGAGAATGTAACTAATGCCTGATGATCTGAGGTGGAACAGTTTCATCCTGAAACTATCCCCTCAAACCCCCAAACTCTCATTCGTGCAAACATTGCCCTCCACGAAACAGGTCCCTGGAGCCAAAAAGGTTGGGGACCAATGGTTTAGGGGCAAGCTGAATTTGAATTTCCACCTTGGGTAATGACGGTAGGGAGGGCTAATGAAAAATGTTGGTGAGTTCTGAAAATTTCAGGATGACCGCCTCTCTGCTTCACTTTCAAGTTCAAATCTGTGCATAACACAATAAAGAGAAGCAGCATTGCCTGCAAATCTCCTCTGTGACAAGCCTTCTATTATCAATTATTTTATTTAATCCTCACAATAATCTCATCGAGTAAGACTCATCATCACTAACTTTATAGGTGAGAAAACTGAAGTATTAAGTAGTCAAGAAAATTATTCAGTATTATTCAAACAACAAATGGCAAAAGCCACCTCTTGAACCCAGTTCTGTATGGTACCCAAATTCTACCCCTTTCCATCTTACCCCATGATTGCTCTCGATACCTAGATGACAAATACAGAGCTGACAGTGAGAATTATACTTTGGTTATAAAATACTATACTACTAATAACATGTTTTAAGCAAACATTCAGGTCAACCATCTTGACTGAATTTTTTCTAAGAATAGAAAAGGGTGTAATTCTATGAGTTGATGAATGTCTTCTTGGATTACTTTATTTGATTTTTAACATAAAAGCATTAAGCATAAAAAGCACAAAGAGTAAAATTAAATTAGAACGGAATAAAAGTAATCAATTCTTATTAGATATTCCATACCCAAGATCACAAATCTTCAAGGCTATTTAAAAAATAATTGCTACATTATTGAGAGGCCTTGGCTTTGAAACATATAGTAAAAAGAACTTGGCTTTGAAATCTTTCTCTGCTACAAGACATTGCTGGGCGTTTAGCTCAAATTCTAAGATTAAAAAAAAAAAAAAAAACCCATGAAAATGCTGATTCAACACTATAAGGACAATGATTTCCTCTAGCCTTTATTGCATGCCTAAGCACTTACAATTTTTAAAGTGTAGCTGTTTTGTGAATGAACCCAGAGGATATAATTTCAACTATGCAATCAAGTCATTTTATTATATGACATCACTTATATCAAGTGAATTTTCTTCTGGTACTAAGCAAACATAAATAACTGTAAATGTCAGTGAGCTCATTGAGAAAGCAGGATTTAAAGTAATGAAGTAATCCTTGATTATAGTATTGATTACAAACAAAAATTTGTAATGTATGTTTGCAAGTGGGATTTATTTCAGAATATCTATATTTTGCCCTCAGATATATCAAGCTCTGGCTTTTACATGAACCCTTTAAAGATCTCTAATTCATATAATCACTATCTAACTTACCATTTCAGGTTCTAAATTTCCATCTGATAAGTCAAAAGTTTAGATATTCACTGCCCATGCACCTTCTCATGTATCTAACCAGTTCATGGGGCATGTTTTCCTTTTGAGCTCAAAGCTAGGTGAATGGATGACTTAAATAGTAACCCTATTGATTTTGAAAACTACTAAAAGCTATAATAAACACATCTGACCTCAGAGGAATATACACTGCATGCAAAAAAATAAGTATATAATATTTTTAACTTTATTAAAATCTAAATAGAGGACCCTCTAGAAATTCAGATCAACACCTACCTGTATAACCAACATTTATACCAGCTGTATGGGTAGGCAGATAGTGGAAAGGAACTCACAAGTATCTCAAAGAATTGACAAATATTTGTTGACTATCTTTACTTCCCAAATATGTTTAGAACATTTATTTGTCACTAATATGCACCAAGGACTATTCTAAGTGTTTTAACTTAATCTTTATGAGATGTGTACTGTGGTTATCAGTCCATTTTACAGTTCTGTATCCTCAAAGGGATACCTAGCATGGTCTTAATCCCTCTTTGAAGAGTGTAGCAAGACTACCAGGTATGGCTATATTGGCCTACTGGAACCTTAGAAGTCAAGTTGGGGGAGGGAGGAAAAATAAAAGCCAATGGTCATTCAAAGAACAAAATGTCATCAGAGAATACATCAAGACCTTGAAGAGGACCTGAGAGTTAATACACAGGCAAAAGCCAAGCCCAACAGGCAAAGACTCAGGATGGTGGTTGAAAACATTAATCAGAAGACAGAAGAAATTATAATAAGAGCTTCAGTGATTCAGAGAAAGGCAAGAGGATCTAGGCCAACTTCCTGAGACAATCCCACAACCTTTCTGTAAGGTATGTGGATAAGCTGGTCTGATTAAAAGCCCAGTGGGAACATACAATGTCCCCCCGATTCATGCCCTACACTCTTCCCAACTAGTGTTTCTCATATTAAATGCTTCTCTAGGTAAGATAACGATGCTAATTCAGTCGGTCTAGGGTGGGGGCAGAGAGTCTGCTTTCCTAACAAGATCCTTGGTGATGCTGATTTGTGGGCCACAAGACCACTCTTTGAATAGCAAGCCTCCCAAAACCTTCCACTGACATTGACATGTTTCTTCTACCAGAGGTAATCTGACTTCACCAGTGGAATTTCCTGACCTTCTTCCATTTCTCAAACCCATATCCCCCGTCTCAACCCCCAGAAGAAGACCTTACCCTTAGTAGTGAGGGACCTCTGCCCCTTCCCTACCAATTCTGCAGCTATGCACATTCAGCACTTGTTCCTGGTAGAACTCCTGATCTTGCACATGAGCTGGGGAATGGTAAGAGCCCAGGAGCATACATGGGGAGTGGAAGCAGGCAAACAAAAAAAGCAGCTGTGGGTCAAGGCATATCACTAGTAAAACTAAGAAAGAACTTTGAGAAATATTGTTATAAATGACACCTAACGTTTAGAAAAGTACTGTACTTCAGCCAAATACAGGGGTAAAAATAAGATTCATCAGGATCCAAATCACTGCTTAAATCATTGGTTCTACAGCATACTGTTTTGATTTCCAAAAGCAGCCAACAAATTACATTTAGATGTAACTAAATCATAGTTTGGGGCATGCTTATACATATAATGAAAAAATATAAACTTGTACTTGACTCAAAAGAAATTGTACCATCCAATTCAACATTACTGGACTTTTACTTCTATGTGTAAAAATAAGCACACCACCAGAAGCTGACTTAGAGCAGCTATAAAAGTTACAGCAAAATTTCAGTTTTAATAAGCATATTCACTGAGTTTTTTAAATTTTGGAGAAAGTTTAGATGATTTACTTCCTCTTTGTCCATCATTTTTAATATTTATAATCCATTTTAATAAAACTTTTGGTTTGGGAAGTCAGAAGCTTCTCCAAATTTTTACAATTTGGCCAAGTTTAAATAATCAGTGATATTCATCAATATTTCAATTATTTAACAACTTAAAACCAGATGTTTAAGTCCCATGAAAAGAAATCTCCCCCTCCCATTAAACACTAATTTTCAAATTGACGTTTCATATTTTACCCAAATGCAACAGCACAGCTGCTTCCAGAAAGTTTACCAGACTGAAAAGTTTGAACACTTTTATTACTACTGCAAGTTTCTTGACAAGGTTCTTTTCTTTGAAAATATTCTGCTTAAAACAACATTTATTTTAGCTCTAAAAATTCTCTTCATCAAAACCCTTTTAGAATTTAAATGCATTGCCACACTGAATGTGCCGAAATATGAAACAATTTTGTTAAAAAATAAGTCCTCAGTATCATCTGTTTTTAATAACATATCAATATTTTTATATACAAATGTGTGTATATAAAGCTAATATATATTTAGAATGCCAAAATGATCTTGTCATAATGAAGTAAGAAAGTTAAACTTCAGACAATTTCCTTTCTTTCTGACCTATACTCCTGAAATACAGAAAAATTAACAAATTCTTCGCACATACCTGCACCTAGTTGCTAGATACCTACTAGGAAACATAAAATATTACCATCATTAAAATATAAAACAAGGAAAGTAAATAATATTCTTTTCCTTTTTGCCCTTTATTTTAAAAACTATGGATATAATAAGCTTACAATATTCATAATCCTCGTATGACTTCTAAAATTTTTCATATCAACTCACTTAGTTCTATTAAACTCATCTCAAGAAGAAGGATAATTCCTCGAGAGCAGAGGGAAGAAGACACTTCCTCCATCCTCCCACTGGACTCCTGTTTGTATCTGTGCAGGTCACTAAAGATGCAGTGCTTCTGATGCAAAGTTCACTGATGTGAGGCAAGTTTCCTGCCAGTTGCTTGGGCTCTAACAGGGTCCCTATCACAGGCGGTCTATTTTGTGGCTGCAATTCTGCAACAGATGCCTCAAGGTGCCCTGGTAGCTGGTGTCCTACAGAAACATCGCTGTAGCAGCAGCTTGGCCCCTTTATTCTCAGTGGAACACACCGTTTCTAATCTGTTCAGGATAGAAAACCTGGATGAAAAAAGACTGAATACAACTGTTCTGCCTGTCAAAGGGAAAGAAAAACATTGTTGAATCTCTGAAAATGTTCCTCTGAGGAGAAAAGAAAGAGAAGCAATGTTTTAGGTATGGAGTGGCAGTGTCTGTACAAACAGACCACTTAATTCACAACAGCTTGAGGGTCAAAGGAAAAATTAAGATGATTATGCTTAAAATTGCTAATGTAGGATTAAAAGTTCATTTCCATCCAGGTTTCTTGGCTCACATGGACTGCCAAGATAAAATTATTGAAATAAAAATAATTTGCATCGATGTTCATCAGGGATATTGGTGTAAAATTCTCTTTTTTTGTTGTGTCTCTGCCAGGCTTTGGTATCAGGATGATGCTGGCCTCATAAAATGAGTTAGGGAGGATTCTCTCTTTTTCTAGAGTTTGGAATCGTTTCAGAAGGAATGGTACCAGCTCCTCCTTGTACCTCTGGTAGAATTTGGCCGTGAATCCATCTGGTCCTGGATTTTTTTGGTTGGTAAGCTATTAATTATTGCCTCAATTTCAGAGCCTGTTATTGGTCTATTCAGAGATTCAACTTCTTCCTGGTTTAGTCTTGGGAGGGTGTATGTGTCGAGGAATGTATCCATTTCTTCTAGATTTTCAAGTTTCTTTGTGTAGAGGTGTTTATAGTATTCTCTGATGGTAGTTTGTATTTCTGTGGGATCGGTGGTGATATCCCCTTTATCATTTTTTATTGCATCTATTTGATTCTTCTCTGTTTTCTTCTTTATTAATCTTGCTTGCAGTCTATGAATTTTGTTGAATGCTCATCATCACTGGCCATCAGAGAAATGCAAATCAAAACCACAATGAGATACCATCTCACAGCAGTTAGAATGGCGATCATTAAAACGTCAGGAACAACAGGTGCTGGAGAGGATGTGGAGAAATAGGAACACTTTTACACTGTTGGTGGGACTGTAAACTAGTTCAACCATTGTGGAAGTCAGTGTGGCGATTCCTCAGGGATCTAGAACCAGAAATACCATTTGACCCAGCCATCCCATTACTGGGTATATACCCAAAGGATTCAAAGGATTATAAATCATGCTGCTATGAAGACACATGCACACGTATGTTTATTGCACCACTATTCACAATAGCAAAGACATGGAACCAACCCAAAAGTCCAACAATGATAGACTGGATTAAGAAAATGCGGCAAATATACACCATGGAATACTATGCAGCCATAAAAAATGATGAGTTCATGTCCTTTGTAGGGACATGGGTGAAGCTGGAAACCACCATTCTCAGCAAACTATCGCAAGGACAAAAGACCAAACAACGCATATTCTCACTCATAGGTGGGAATTGAACAATGAGAACACATGGACACAGGAAGGGGAACATCACACACCGGGGCCTGTTGTGGGGTGGGAGGAGGGGGAGGGATAGCATTAGGAGATATACCTAATGTAAATGATGAGTTAATGGGTGCAGCACACCAACATGGCACACGTATGCATATGTAACAAACCTGCATGTTGTGCACATGTACCCTAAAACTTAAAGTATAATTAAAAAATAAATAAATAAAAATAATGAAGAAGTTTAAAAGTTTCAAAGAAAAAGTTCTTTTTAGAAACTCAGAGTTTGTCTCAATATGATATTTATAAGGGCCCTTAATCTATATTTAGTACTTCTACCAGAGGTAATATGACTTCACCAGTGGAATTTCCTGACCTTCTTCCATTTCTCAAACCCATATCCCCCGTCTCAACCCCCAGAAGAAGACCTTACCCTTAGTAGTGAGGGACCTCTGCCCCTTCTCTACCAATTCTGCAGCTACGCACATTCAGCGCTTGTTCATGTTAGAACTCCTGATCTTGCACATGAGCTGGGGAATGGTAAGAGCCCAGGAGCATACATGGGGAGTGGAAGCAGGCAAACAAGTAAAGCAACTGTAAGTCAAGGTGCATCCCTGGTAAAACTAATAAGGAACTTTGAGAAATATTGTTATAAAAGACATCTAAGGTTTAGAAAAGTATGGGCACTACTCTTCAGCCAAACACAGGGGTAAAAATAGGATTCATCAGGATCCAAGTCACTGCTTAAATCATTGTTTCTACAGGATACTGTATTGATAGCAGAAGTACTCCTGCTGGCATGAAACACTGATGATTCCTGAGGGTCTATGGACAAGTCCCATAGTTTCTAAGAGTCTATATGTCTGCATCTCAGAAGACTATAGACATTGAACTTAATGATACAAAAGATGTTTACCAATTCCCTCCTGAGGCTTAGTTATATTTTCCCTTCACTCATTATTGCAAAAAGTCTACACCCAATCATCCCATTAACTACTCAATTAACAACATAGTTTCACTCAGCAGGCCTTTTCTCAAAAGCCCAAGTAAATGTCCTGCCACATTAAAAGAAACTGCTATTAAAAATAAACATAAACACACTTTAACTGAATGTATGTCCATGTTGGGTTTATTATTCCACAATTAATTGCCCATCAATTAAAAAAATGGCAGAGAAAAAAAACAAATATATTAGTGATATTTAAAGAATCCAAAGGTTCCAGGGGAGAAATGAAGTAATAAATAGTAAGGAGCTAAGCGGAAAGGCAGAATCTAATTGTAAAATTTCCATGTGAATTGTTTTGTAGTTGCTTTAGGGAAAGAAGAGCTAATGACTTGTCAACCTGAAACCATAGCGGCTCTTCTGCAAATATCACTACTCAAGTATCAGTTAATGCTCAAAGGCTAAACAAGACAGTATCTACAGCATTACAAGTTTTCTGTCAAAAACATTATATTTATAGATGAAATTGGCCTTGCTACAAAGAGAAAATTGAATTTAAAAAGTTAATGAGAAACTTTTTATTGAATTGAACAACATGCACTGTATTACAATAGCATAATACTTCCATGACCGTTTCTGTGGCATTTACACAGTTCATTATCTAAAATTAATTAGTTTAACAACAAATTAAAACATTAAATATCATAACCATATATTTTATAATTATCTCAATTTTATATTACTAATATACTTCAGAATTAATAAGTAATTAGTTATAACTTTTATGTACTTTGTAGATGTGGATGTGCTTTACTGATTAAATTAACTATTGCTATCATTTTCATGGGGCCATCTAACATTTTAAAAATCAGAATATTAGCTTTATTTTATTTTATTTTTAAACAATTTCAATTTAGAGAAAAGTTGAAAGAATGGTATCAAGAATATTCTTAAAATAACCATATGAGAATGCAATTTTAACATGATGCTTCATTACTCCTATTTTATTTGAATCTCCTACCAAAAAAAGGATATTTCATATATAACTACAATACAATCATAGAAATCAGTAAATTTTCACTTATGTAATATTTTCCTCTATTCCACAGACCCCAGTGAAATTTCATCAATTGCACCAACAATGTATTCAAATGGCAAAAACACATCCAGTTCAAAAAATAAACTTTATTCAATTTTCATGTCTCTTTTATCTCCTTCATTCTAGAAGCACTTTAGTCTTTCCTCAATTTTTATAACATTGGTAATTTTGAAATTATAGGCTGGTTATTTATTTTTTTAGAATGTTCCTCAAATTGTGTTTTCTTGATATTTTAGATTCAGGTTTTTCATCTTAACAGAATTATGACATAAGTGATGTGTATTGTTTTCATGGCTAAATTTTCCTCTATTCACTGAGTTTGCATTTAGAAAACATGTTTTGGAATCCCTTTTTAATAACTCCAGCTCCTGGACATAGCAAGAACCTAAAGTATTTACAAAACAAAAAAAAATACTAGATAATAAAAATAATGTTTAATACCTAATTTTTTTCCCATCATTTGACCAGAAAAGTGTGTTTGCATTTTTAACATGCAAAGATGCCGTTAATATACATATATCATAGTGACTAGTCTCTAACAGCTTAAAATATTGATAAAACTATATTGCACGTAATGAAAAGGAAGTACAAGGGTTGATACAAATCATTCCAATAAAAGCCTTTATGTGTGGAAGGCACGACGTTTTAATAAAGAAAAGTAGTTCTCACAAAACCATCTTCAAGTAGAAGAAAAATCTGTTTTGCACTCCCTGGCATTCTAAACAACATACATGATGCCACTTTTCCATTTACTTGAATAATAGCTTTTAAAACCTTCGCAAATCCCCTAGTTTGTATTTCCTACAGAAAGTGTCTCAATAAAAGTCAGAAGCTATGTTAAATAACATGATGGATATCAGCCCTGCCCTCTGTTTCTCACAGGCCCCCATCCCAAAGATGTCTAGAGATTTCTCTAAACAGTAGGGATAATGGAGGTCCCAGCTCTGAATGAAAACTTATTGAGGCATAATGTACTACTCAGACACATATCATGGGTGACACTGGTGAAAAATCCTGCAGCAAGCACTTGTTTCCCTGGGGAGTCATCATTGCTTGTGCCGGGGCTGGTCATCTCACTTCAATACATTCCTTCACAGGGCTGCACTGCTTGGAAGAGCCAAGCTGCCATATGGCATATTAAAGATCTCGCCTAATAAATCTAGCTAAGCAGGCCATTCCTTTAAGCTGCTTTTTAAAATATATGTGTATAATACAGTTTATTGGTTGTTACCAACATCTGGGCTAGGGACTGAGGACAGTTCGTATCCCACACTGAGGATGCTGGTTCCCTATTATCTGCATCATTGACTTTGAATGTTAGAAAGTATATTTTCCTGCTGATGCATGACTGTCTTTATGGGATCCTGTAGAAATACAATGGACAATGAAATGCAGTGCTGGCAAAAAGGGACAGGGTATCTAACTCCCTTTTATTGCAATTTTGTGCACGATTATATAGCTAGAAAAAATATATATATATATATATATATATATGTTGTGAAATCAGAGTTGAAGATGAGGAGGTAAGTACGTTTTCTAAAATGGATTGTCAAAGTATTATCTATTTAGCTCAATGGTACAAGGCTTTCCTTTGTGGTTGTCTAATAATAACAGTGATAATGTGG
Organism: Homo sapiens; assembly: GCF_000001405.40. NCBI lineage: Eukaryota > Metazoa > Chordata > Mammalia > Primates > Hominidae > Homo > Homo sapiens. The sequence continues at coordinate 92,895,180 of NC_000013.11, forward strand.
TACATTTCAATATGATTTCAGAAAATATAAGTTTATTAATTTTAAATGCTTTCTCAGATAACTTCTGTCACTGCTAAGGAAAGAACAACACAACAGTGATTAATGCTAGGCACCCCACACTGTGCAAAATGAAAAGTACTGAACCTTTCACAGAGATGGCATTTTGACACAGAAAGAGTGGGCATACCATGTTATTGCCATCACAGAAAAGAAAAACTGTCATCTGAGACACATGATTTTCCATGATGTTTCTGCAACTATGGAGAGAGAAAATTGCCAAGGAAAGTAGGAACATGGATTGCTGATTACATTCATGTAGATTTATCCAACACTCTATTGTTGTCTTGGGGCAGACTTTGAGAAATGAGTAAAATAGTCTCTTTGTTACTCTTTTTTTTTCTCTTGAGACAGAGTCTTGTTCTGTCACCCAGGCAGGCTCGAATGAAGTGACCCGATCTTGGCTCACTGCAACCTCATCCTCTCGGTTCAAGCGATTCTCCTGCCTCAGTCCCCTGAGTAGCTGGAACTACAGGTGCATGCCACCACACCCAGCTAATTTTTTTTATTATTTTTTTCTTTTTTAGTAGCGACTGACCATGTTGGCCAGTCTGGTCTTGAACTCTTGACCTCAGGTGATCTGCTCGCCTTGGCCTCCCAAAGTGCTGGGATTACAGGCCTAAGCTACCGCCCCCATCCTATCATTGCATTTTTAAGTAAAGGATTTCTTTCTTATAAGTACCATGGTCTTTTTTTCTACATACTATCACCTTGATATTAAATAAAATCAGAAGCATTATAATCAATAGGTACCCAGTGTCTTGGTCCATTTTCTGTTGCTTATACCAGAATACCTGTTGGAGGCTGAGAAGTCTAAGGCTGAGGTGCTACATCCAATAAGAGCCTCCTTGCTAGAAAGGACACTGCAGAGTCCTGAGAGGAGATAGGGCATCCCATGGCTAGGAGGCTGAGCATGCTAGCTAAGGCCTCTCTTCCTCTTCTTAAAAAGCTACCAGCCGTACTCTCCCAATAGCCCATTAATCCATTAACCCATTAATCCAAATCCATTCCTGCAGGCAGAACACTCATGATTCAGTCACCTCTTAAAGGAACAACATCTCAATGCTGTCACATTGGGGATTAGCTTTCAACATAAATTTTGGAGGGGAAGGGGACATTGAAACCATAGCAACCAGTTTTATAAATTTTTGATTGGTTCTCATTTTTATAACTTGATGTAATGTCATATGTGAGTCATTATTATCTTCATCTCATAATTTAGATATTTATTATAATATTCATTTTTTCTGGACTTCAAAAGACCCATCTGGTTGGCTTTTGCTATATTATGAATATACCAACCAGCATTGGAGTATAAGTGTGTATATCTATATCTACATAGATAGATAGATATAGATATAGATTCCTATATTAGACACCAAATCTCTTCAGAAACCACAAGTCTTTGAATGACAGCCTTGAAGAATTTAGAGCCATGTCTTCAGGGCAATCAAGATATATTCACACATAATGAAGTCTGCCGCTGAATGGACTACAGTGTGTAGAGTCCTAAATCTGAAGCTTTGGTTAGATAGTTTTCCAATATCTTGGAAAAAACACAAGTGATGTAAGAAGAAAGAACTGAGGTACTTGGAGGAATTGAGGTATGGAAATGAATTCGGGGTAAGAACTGACTCTATTTAACATTTAAAACCATCTATTACTAAATAAGTATCTCCAATGCCAAAAGTCAGTTGATCCAGTAAAGTAGCAAACCAGGCATGGTATTACTGATTCCTCTACCTACATAAAAGGTTAAATCTCTTTAACCACCAGGTGGCAATGACTCACCAGCTTTTTGGATGTACACATTTTTACATTCTGCATTCATTCAGAGAAGATCCTTTGACAACTAGTGAGATCCCAGGCACTAATTTGTCATAACAGAATGAGCGCTGCTCTGTTAAGCAATGACTACTATGGCTACACACTGGATTAAAATGATGAGAATCACAGTTTCCTTCTGGGCCAGTGTAGAAATGCCAAAGTTTGAGTTAATTGCAGCATTCAAGGAGATGAAAGAATGTGTCTAACTTCTCTCTTCACTACAAATATTCCAGGGGAAATTACTGGAAATCCTCATATCTATATCACTCTCGCTCACCTATTGACTCACACCATGCATGAATCCAGAATTGTGAATTTTATCTTAGCTTTTGGAAACATTAAGAACAAGGAACCTTCGGAAGGAGTAGAAAACAATACTTTAAGAATATAACAAACAAATAAAAATGACTCCCAGGAAGCAACATGGGGTAGAGATCAAGTACATTTAGCTGGGGTTGGAATCTGGCTTCTCCACTTACAATCAGTACCATCTTGGTTAAGGTACTAAAATCTCTGGGCCAGGTGCCACAGCTCACGCCTATAATCCTACCACTTTGGGAGGCCAAGGAGGGAGGATTGCTTCAGACCAGCAGTCCATGACCAGCCTGGGCAACATAACAAGAACCTGGGCAACATAGCGAGAACAAAAAATAAAAAATATTAACTGAGTGTGGTGATGCATGCCTGTAGTCCTAGGTACTTGGGAAGCTGAGGCAGGAGGATCACTTGAGCCCAGGAGTTTGAGGCTGGAGTGAGCTATGAGTGCACCACTGCATTCCAGCCTGGATGACACAGTGAGACACTGTCTCAAAAATAAAAATAGGAATTTCTAGCCAGAGCAATCCTGCAAGGGAAAGAAAGAAAAGGCATCCAAATAGGAAAAGAGGAAGTCGAACTATCTCTCTTTGCTGATATGATTCTATATCTAGAAAACCCTAAAGAATCTTCTAAAAGGCTCCTAAACCTGATAAGCAACTTCAGTAAAGTTTCAGGATTCAAAATTATTGTTCAAAAATCAGTAATACATCTATACGCCAATAATGTTCAAGCTGAGAGCCAAATTAAGAATGCAATTCCATTAGCAATAGCCACACACATACAAAAAATAAAAAATCTAGGACTACATCTAACCAAAGAGGTAAAATATCTCTACAAGGAGAACTACAAAACGCTGATTTAAAAAACCAGAGATTCCACAGACAAGTGGAAAAACATTTGTCTTCTTGGATTGGAAGAATCAATGTCATTAAAATGGTCATACTTCTGAAAGCAATCTACAGATTCTACACTCTTCCTATCAAATTATCAATGTCATTTTTCACAAAAACAGAAAAAAAAATTCTAAAATTCACAGGGAACCAAAAAAAAAAGCCCAAACAGCCAAAGAAATCCTAAACAAAAACAAATCCATTGGCATCATATTTCCCAACTTCAAACTATACAATAAGGCTATAATAATCAAAACAGCATGGTACTTGTACAAACACAGACATATAGACCAATAGAACAGAACTGAGAACCCAGGAAACACACCTACAGCCATATGATCTTCAACAATGTCAACAAAATAAGCAATGAAGAAAGGACTCCCTATTCAATAAATGGTACTGGAATAGCTGACTAGCCATATGCAGAAGCATTACACTCGACCCCCAACTTTCATGATATGCAAAAATTAACTCAAGATAGATTAAAAATGTAAATGTAAGACCTCAAACTATAAGAATCCTGGGAGAAAACCTAGAAAACACCATTCTAGACACTGACCTTAGGAAAGAGTGTATGACTAAGCCCTCAAAGCAATTGCAGCAAACAAAAATTGACAAGTGGGACCTAATTAAACTAAATAGCTCCTGCACTGCAAAAGAAATTATCAACAGAGTAAACAGACAACCTAGAAAATGGAAGAAAATATTTGCAAACTATGCATCTGGCAAATGTCTAATATCCAGAATTTACAAGGAATTTAATTCAACAAGCAAAAAACAATCCCATTCAAAGGTTAGCAAAAGACCTGAACAGACACTTCTCAGAAAAAGACAGCAGCCAACTGACATGAAAAATGCTCAACATAACTAATTATCAGTGAAATGCAAATCAAAACCACAATGAGACAGCATCTCACATCAGTCAGAATGGCTATTATTAAAAAGTCAAAAAACAACAGATGCTGGCAAGGCTGCAAAGAAAAGGGAATGTTTACATTCCCACTGCTGGTGGGAATGTAAATTAGTTCAGCCACTGTGGAAAGCAGTTTGGAGATTTCTCAAAGAAATAAAAATAGAAATACCACTCTATCCAGCAATCCCATTAATGAGCATATATTCAAAAGAAAATAAATCATTCTACCAAAAAGACACATGCACTCATATGTTCATTACAGCACTATTCACAATAGTAATGTCATAGAATCAACCTAAATGCCCATCAGTGATGGATTAAAGAAACTGTGGTACAAATACACAATGGAATACTATACAGCCATAAAAAAAGAATGAAATAATGTCCCTTGTAGCAAAATGGATGCATCTGGAGGCTGTTATCCTAAGTGAATTAATGCAGGAACAGAAAACTGAATACCACATGTTCTCACTTATAAATGGAAGCTAAACACTGGGTACTCATGAACATAAACATGGAGACAATAGACACTGAGAACTCCTAGAAGGGGAAGGGAGGGAGCGAGCAAGGGTTGAAATACTATTGGGTACTATGCTTACACCTGGGTGACAGGATTATTCATACCCCAAACCTCAGCATAACGCAATACCCCATGTAACAAACCTGCCTATGTACCCCCAAATCTAAAATAAAGTTGAAATTATAAATAAAATAAAAATTAAATCAAAAAATAAAATATCTGTATTTCAGTTTCTTCATCTGCAAAATGGGGTCATTATGGGGAACAAATAAACTAGTAAATGTAAATCACTTTGAATTGAAATATATTTATACGCTTACAAAAACAAACACCAAAACGAAAGTCTTAGTTTATTAGACCTACTATCCCTGTACTTACTTCCCAAAGGCTTACTTTGTCAATGATGTTATAAACAGAAAGAATTGCTTTAAAAGACCAAAGGTTCTTTCTCTCTAAATGTGCTTCTATTGAGTCACTATGGTACTAACTGTAGAAATATACGTTGAAGCTGAAAAAACAGAAGACTGCTTCATCAAGCTTTTAAACCCCCACTAAAAATAGAAACTTAAGGGGAGTTACTGACTCAGCTAAACTTTGGAAGTGGATTTAAACAAAGACAGCCCTACCTTTGTTCACCATTTTCTATAGCAAGCAGTTGTTTAAATGAAGTTTTAAACAAAATTGCTGAAAAATGCAAAATTGTAGCATGACTGACAATAAATAACCTCCCACCAATGTGTCTGTTTCTGCTCCTCAGTAGCTTTACTGGCCACTTTATTTCTCCTTATTATGAAACATTGTAGTGCAGCTGCCATCCTGTAGAGATATCTGGTAAACATTTCATGAGACAGGCGAAGCTTTTAGAATTCCTTTTGAGCTTTGTTAAATTGAACGTGTGAAAATAAAGTTGTCCAGGGTGAAGGAGGGAAAGCATTTTTTAGTCTGGTTGGAAAGATGAAATCATGCCGGGTAGCTGGAGCTGGCAGCCCTGATTTAGTCACTGCCAAGCCCATCAACATTATTCATTCTGATTGATTAAGGAAAACATTCAGTTTATTTTCATGGAGAGATACAGTTACATCTGGTGAGCTCTTGTATCCCATCTCAATTCATAGGGGGTTTTTTATTATGATTTTTCAGAATGAAGATGACTCTACAACAAATAAGAAGGAAGTGATAAATAACTCAGTAGTTTGTTTTTTATCTTGCAGTGGCAGAAGAAAATAAAATAACATGAAGAAAATGAAAGCTATCATGCCTTAATCTTTCAAGCTTTGTGTAAAGAGCCTACAGTTTAGTTGATTTTATACAAGTCTATTGTTATCAGATTAATGAGATACATAGAGCTCTGTCAAACTGTTCACAGGATATTGGAGAAGTATGTATATGTTTTCAATCTTTGGCTTTCCTTAGATAAAAGCTGTTCTATCAAAAATGTTATCCTTTTGAGAGCTGAATTCTTCATCATTAATGAATTATCCTTAGTTGTTACCCAGTGTAACTCTTAACTAGAAAAGAACAGGTGATATTTTTCCAAAGAAAAAAGGAGAAGAGCTCTTTCTCCATCTTGGCCTTTCCAAAACTTTCATGTGCGCCCCTCATTTTTCAAACATAGCTCATGTGAAATGTTGAGTTGGGAGAGACTTCTGAAAAGGCTAGTTCTAGAAACTGCCTAATTGGAATGTTTTATAGCTAATAATGATTTCACATTTCTTTATTGAAATGGCAACTCCTCATAACTTAGGGTTCATAATTGACATCCCCCCCAACCCGCCACAAACACAGAAAAGTTATATTTGGAAAAAAGCACCTGTGTCATTAACCTTCGTCTCTTTTGGCATACAATAAAGTTACAGGAAAAGTTTTTCCTATAACATTTCTTAACAGTCATATGGTAGCTCATTCAGAAAGAGGCTAACCAAACCGTTCATGACATGATGGACAATCCCTTAAAATGCCTCATATTGAACATCTGTATTTGAACTTTAAGAAGTTAAAGCTCTAGAATTATCTAACCAAATAAAATACAAATTAATAAAAGTTTTATGAAAATGTACTAAATTGGAAGTTGCCAATGATTTGAGGGAAGGCTATTTTTTTTTTCTGATCTTTCAAAGGTATTTTCCCTTACTGTTATACTCAAAGAAACACCTAGTCCACAGGAAATCTTCACATGAATTAGCAAAAAGCCCCAGCTGGGCAGCTGCACCTTTGTGGTTTGACAGGCAGCCAGTAATAATTCAAAAATCGCCCACTTTTCCAGGATGGCGCAGCCTCCACAAGGAAACACGGTTTGGAGAGCAGAGCAAGGGTCTTGTGTCGTCACCTCAATTGTTTGCCTATTTTAGGGAATAACCTGTGCAATGCTCAAACAACACGTTTTTTAACTTTATAATCAGGTCCTCATCTTCTTGTTCTTTCATCTACTAATTGAAGATGATTGAAATGGCAAAAATGGCTTCAATAAGATGACCTTAAAAGGAGGTGGGGGCAATCTTTGAAGGATCCCTGTGTTGATTTCTTTAGAGAAGAACTTTGCAAAGAGTTAAATAATGTCACTGTTATATAAGTCACATTGGATCCTTCAAGCCAGAAAATCAGTTAGTTAATTCTAATAACGGTTTAATTGTTTATATTCAATTCATGGAATCAGAGTCAAGATATTGGAAGCTCACTTTGCCAAAGGTAAAACATCTAACATTGTAAATGTTATTGTAAAATTATTTTATATGTTCAACATTAAGAACAAATGACTTGCTCTGTGGTGATAATACAAATTTTGGTAGAGCTCAGTGGGTAAGTGCCATGATGCAAACAATATTCTTACTAAATTAAGAAAGCCTACAGAACAGAAAGGTTATTGGAGTCGGTTGCAGCGGACATATATTTCATAATTGCATCCAAAATCCTAATACTCTTCAAATTGGAATAGAAGTGTTGTTGTAAAAATTTACATGCATAAACACACACACACAGACTAGCTGAACTACAATTTTTGAGATGGAGTTGACATTGAACTTAAAACATATTTCAGCATGGTAATAGATTCTTTCTCTTTTATCTGCCTGTATTCAATAGAATTTTAGAAAGTTTGAACTTTTGAAGAAATACTTTATAAATCAAGCTTAGTGTCCTATAATTGTGTTGAGTTTCTTGTGTGAATGAGTCCTTTAAATTTTGTTCTCATTTTGTCCAAAATCAGTTGGAAATACTTAATCTAATTATTAAACAAAAGGAGTCTTCCCTAAAGTCTACGTTTTTAATATATTATCTTGTGGGAATAATCTTTTATTAGAAATCTTATTCAGAATTATATAAATGTATATTTATTACACAAATTCAAATGAGAGATTCCCCATCTTTGCAACATCTAAAACTGGTGAATACAAATAATAATTTGAGGCATTTTATTTGATAAGTTTTATCTTGAAAATATTTCTCAAATGAGTTTTATGACACATAAAATACAACTTTTAAAAAGATTTTTAATTAAAGATTACTTTATAAAATATATTCTGCAGAAAAATACCATTGGCCTGGTATTAGACACATGGCAAGTGAATCAAATATGTGAATATATACAAAGAATAATTATTTTATGTAATTATTTAATAACAAGGTAAACATCACAAGAGTTTTATATTTGTTTTTATTTCTTAGTTTATTTAATAACAAGGTAAACATCACAAGAGTTTTATATTTGTTTTTATTTCTTAGTTGTTTGTTCTTTGAGGCTTTTTTTGGCTGTAATGTGCATGATTATATATTTAGACTTTTAGGAAAAATATTTTTCAAAGTGTTTTTTGAATTGAACTATATTAGAGGGCCACCAGTATAGTAAAAGCCTATTTATATGTCAATACATAAATGTTTCAAAAAAATGTTGTGGCTTAATTTTTCTTAGCATTCCTTTTTGCCCTATAAAACAATGGTCTATGGGTTTATTTTAAATTACATTTTACCTAAAAAGAATAGTCATATTTTGAATCCGTGATGAAGAGTGACATGCTCTTTCTCTCTAAATTCATTTTCAATAATTGACCAAAATGTATTATCCCAATGGTCTGTAGTAGAGACTGAATCTCCGGAACATATCCAGGATGGTAGAAATTCATGAAGCAAGTGAAGGAGGATGAAGGTGGGACACAGACACACAAGTTAATTGCTAATTGCTCTAATTGGTTGCCATCTGTCAGATGTTACCATTTTCAAGCTACCAATATTGATGTCATGTTATTTCAGATTGGTATTTAATGAATCCATGAAGTGTTTCCATATGTGCTTTCATCCCTAAAGAGTGATGATGATGTTGGCTCCATGTACCTCATTTATAACTTAGATTTTCCACTGTGCTCTAATACAATTACTTTAGCAGTTTGGAAATATGCATTGTTGTATGGAAAAAAAAAAGTGGTTCAATAGATAAGACTTTGGTGTCTAGATTTTTAAAGAGGTCATACTACTTTACTATTAATTTACAAAGAAGTCCTAATTAAAAGAAAATCTGATTTTTCCAGAGCATCAACACCAATCATTTCAGAGGAAATTCTATTTGCCAAAACACTACAAATATTAGTTTCCATAAAAGAGAGAAATTGCGTCATAAATGAAACAATATAATTGATAAAGATGTTCATTGAGAGAAGTTATTCATAAGAATTTTTTTTCTCATGGGATTCTTTTTCCTTCCCAGTTTTATTAGATATTTACCTATGTAGAAATATCTGAAAGTTACTTGATAGGAAAAAGATTCAGTTAGTATCTGAAGCAGGAATCTTTTATATGTAGGCCTACATGCATGTAAAATATCAAAGAAAAAAATTTTAAGTACATTCAATTAAATGAACCTAATCTGTATTTAATTTAGAAGGGACATCCCTTGACATTAAAAAGGCAATGTTTAAATTCCTATCACTTATGGACACCTACTGTCAAATCATTATTTAAAAGGAATTATTTGTGTAAACAAAAGCATAAAATAACTGGGAAACAAAAGAACTAGAAATAAACACATATGCCAGACTACTACCTTTTTTTAAAGATAATGTTTACAAAAATTAATAGAATATACCAGCTTCTGGCCAGACATGCAAAGAGCTTCGAAGTCCTCACTCCCATCCTCATAATTTTTTTTTCAAGTGGAATGAACCAAAACCCAACAATTTTTAGATCCATCAGAATATTCAGGTCACAGAGCAAACCTCTGACCCAAATTTGGAGAGATGGGCAAATATAGAGAATCATATTTTACTTGGAGTAGAAGCCTTGCTGGAGGAGCAACTGGGAAGAATAATTTCAATTGACTAATGGCTGGCAACTGAACATGGACTGGCTTGAGAGAGAAACATTTCTGGGGACCCAGTCTCAGGGGAGTACCCATATTTCCATGAGGTTCCATGAGAACCCCAGCAGGCTCTCACTGTAAAGAGAAAAGTCCCCTAATACTTTAGTTAGGGGGAGGTAAAAAGTAACCATTGTGTCATATGCCCAAAGCTTTGTCTTACACTTAAAAAAGGCCTTTCCTTAAGGAAAACTATTTTACCAGAGCTTAACCCATTTGGGTTTTTCCATACCCAAATTGACCTCAGGAAAGAAAATACCTAAGCTCCAGTCCCATCTAGTCTTTGAAGTGAAAGAACGAAAGTGCTCAACTCCAGCCCCTTCTAGCCTTTCTGCCCCATCCAAGGGAGTGAAGGTAGGAGCTGAGAAGCACTTGAGAAGGTCACATCCCAAGTACCCAGCCTCGCTAAAACATTGAAACCTAATCAAAGGATTATAAAACACTTCCTGCTTTCCATGACTTACCACCACATCAATAGGGCTACTGAATAATAACAGGATTACAGCTGAAAGAGCTGAAAGTATAAGACACTACTTAAGAAGGAATCTCTAGGGAAAGCCAAAGACAGCAATGGAGATAAAAAAACAAGGATCCGAGAGGAAACTTTAGTCTCTGACAGTACAGCCACAGTCAAGAGTAAACAGACCTATACTTCTAGCCAGGTAACATAAAACTTCAAAACAAAGGCCTATTTACTTAAGTACCTTATTCTATACATCATATCCAGCTTTCAACAACAACAAAAAATTGTGAGGCATGCTAAAAGGCCAAAAACACAGTGTGAAGAGAAAAAGCAAAGATCAGAAAAATACGCAGACATGGAAGAGACTTTGAAATTGCCACTGATAATTTAAAATAACTATGAATAATACGCTAATGCCTCTAATGAAAAAGTGGATAACAATCAACAACAGATGGGTAATGTAAGCAGAGAGATTAAAAAAAACACTAAGAAAAAAATTGCTAGAAATCAAAAACACTATAACAGAAATGAAGAAGGTATTTGAAGGGTTCATTAGCAGAATGAACATGACTAAAGAAAGAATCAGAGAGCTTGAAGATTTGTCAACAGCAACTTCCCACTGAAAAATAAAGAGAAAAAAGAATTTAAAAAAAAACTTAGTAGCTATCTAAAAAACTGTAGGACTACTACAAAAGGTGGAACATACATAGAGATACCAGAAGGAGGGGAATGTGGGAAAGGAGCGAAGAATAATTTATAATAATAACGATTGAGAATTTTCCAAAATTAATTACACATACCAAATGACAGACCCTAGAATCACAAACACCAAACAGGAAAACAAAAAAATTACATCTATGTTTACCATGTTCAAAATATAGAAAATCAAAGACAAAGCAAAATTTTAAGAGAAGCCAGAGGAAAAAATACATCTTATTGGGAGACGAACAAAGATAAGAATTATACTGGACGTCTCTTCAGAAACCATGCGAGCTAGAAGAGAGTGGAATGAAATATTTAAAGTTTTTAAGGAAAAAAAGCAACTAGCCTAAAAATCTGCATCCAGGAAAATTATTCCTCAAAAATGAAAGAGAAAAAAAGGTCTCAAATGAAAATTGACAGAATTTGTCACCAGCACATTTATCTAGCAAGAAATGTTAAAAATTCTTCAGAAAAAATGTAATTCAGAAGTATGCATCAATACAGAAAAAAGCATTATTGAATAAACAGATGAAGGTAAAATGATTTTTGTATTTTTATTATTCTTAATTGATCTGACTTTTTTTTTTCTTTTGAGATGGAATCTTACTCTGTTGCCCAGGCTGGAGTGTAGTGGAGCAATCTCGGCTCATTGCAACCTCTGCCTCCCAGGTTCAAGCGATCTCCTGCTTCAGCCTCCTGAGTAGCTGGGATTACAGGTGTGTGACACCATGCCTGGTTAATTTTTGCATTTTTCAGTACAGACAAGGTTTCACCATGTTGACCAGGTAGATCTAACATTTAAAGGTTTGTTCAAAATAATAATATCTACAATGTACTGAGTGATTAAAGATTATGGATAAGTGAATAATGTTTATAAAAGGATAGACAAAAAGACTGAAAGGTAATATTTCAAAATATATTGCCTCTAGATGGTGCAACTCTATTTCTGTTCTATACTCTGCAAATAAAAAATCATGGTACTTTTACCAAAAAAAAAGATGCAATCACTAATATCTTAAATCACTAGATTAATTCAGAAATAATTGTAGGTGACACAACAAATGAGTTTAGTTCTTTACATCATATTCTGAAATATTTTTACAATATATGATTAATATTAATTCACAAAGAAGGATTATATCTTTGTGAAATTTTATCATAGGTTTTCACCCAATTATGTTAAAAGATAGCCAGCAAAGCAAACCTTTAATAATCATCTTTAATCATATGAAAGGATGCTCACCCCCACTCATAATATGGAAAAAGCCAAAGAAACTATTAATAACCATTTCTCATACATCAGATTTGTAAATTTTAAATGACAATAAACTGGGTTGATAAGGCCACTAGAAAGCATGTATTCTCATATATTAACAGTGGAAATACAAAATAATTCCACTATTGAGAAGAATTCGGCAATATCTAGCAGTACTACCTATGAATGTACCCTCTGATCCAGCAATTCTACTTCTAGGAATCTATCCTGATGGCATATTCTATAAATGCAAAATGACACTGGAAAAAGATTAGTTATTGCAGCATTATCTGTAACATTCAAAAGTTAGAAGTGAATGTTGACAGATAAGAATGGTGAAACAATATTGGAAAAATCAAAGCAAAATAGCAAAAAATAAATAAAGGAAGTGGGAGATCTCTACTGGTATGGAATAATTTTCAGGACCACTGTCAAGTAAAAATAGAAAGATGCAGAATAGAAATTACATGATATGTTTAACAAGAAAAAAGAACACACACTGATGGTATAGAGATGCTTGCAACAACAACTACAGAAAAACCCTAAAGACAATCTGGAAATTAATAAATAATGGTTACACATAGCACATGGTTGAAAGGGAAAAGAGTGTGGAGACACAGATAAAGATAAACTTCTGACTGTGCCATTTTACATAGACCTGATTTGGGGACTATGCTGATACTTTACATATTAAAATTTTAATATTCCATCAAAATGAACCAAAAAAATGCACCTTAACATTGAAACCAAAATAAAACAAGCAAATCTAACTATGTATCAAACTGGTAACAAACCACCACAGAAGAAAAGAACAAAAATTTAATTGATACTGTTAATTGTTCATTCTTAGTAGAATATACTCCAAGGTAATAAAGAACAATAAGAAAATCTGAAACTCCTTTTGGCAATTAATTGATAATTATCATACTGGCATTATTATTTGCAAAACATATATATTTTAATATACCCATATAAAATGTACATACACATACACACACTATATATATTCACATATATATGTGAAAAAGAAGTAATTTGATTATTAAAATTAGATTTTCAATGTTGGACAGATATATTCAAGAATAAAACTAATGAAGTTTGAATGAAACTCTGATATGTTTAAATGGGAATACAAATATCAGAATGATTTGTTTTCCCCACTGAAAAGGCCTGACGATCATAGCATTCCCTAGGATGCTGGTCCAAGATAATGGGATAACCAAACTGAGGCCACAAGGAAGAGGACACAAAAGATGTAGAGATTGGTTTACTCTTGGTGATCCTGCTATGAGCCAAGCCCTGGGCACTTTTCTAAGGAATCGCTGGAGCCTCCAGGGGCCTCTCTGTAGTCCGAAACTGGGGAGGGTCAGTGTCTCTCTATTGATGGGCATGTAAATATCTCACCCTCTCCTTTTCTGCCAGATATGCATAAGTTCCAGGTGGCAAAATATATTTCTTAACAGTCATATGACCATAAATGTATGGAGGTTCATAGAGGAAATATAATTAATCATACAAAGGGATCAATGGAATAATGGCATAATCCAACCAGCCTTGAAAAAAGGTGAGAACTTAGGAAAGTCACTGACCCTCTAGAAGTTTCCATTTGTTTATTTATCTGTGAAATACAGATATTAAAATGTGATTTCCAAGGTTCCTTTTAGTAAAAGAAAAATGATGTTTGTACCTTCAGTACAGTTTACATTAGCAGAAAACTTGTTATTGTATCAATCTAACCAACACTTAATGCTCTGGGAAGGTGGGGAACAAGAGGCTTCTTTTTTTATTTTTTGATTAAAAATCATTTACAATAAAAGAAAAAGCATTTTCTTAGCATAAAAAAACATGCAACCCTATTTATTTTTAAATAATCCAAGTGTTGGATGTCAGAGTACAAAAGCAACTCTGAAATTGTAAAAACAATTGCTCTCTGTCAATTAGATTCTGACAATCTTTTCTTTTTTCTTCAGTGTGTATATAAGCACAATACAGAAGTGTCTCTGTCCCATACTTTCAACAAATAATCACCGTGAAGGTGTGAAATGGAGACTGGAGGGAAGTGATACCTTGTGCAGATTGCATATTTCATTTCTACCTCCTTTTCCTGACAATTGAATTGCCATTTGGTTTTCCTTTAACAGTTTGTCTGCTCCCTTTGACTACCTCAAAGGAACTATGTTCCACACTAAAACAATGTAACCAAAACAACCGCCCAGAGAATATGACTTTCTTTGAACTCTCAGATCCTAATAGAAGAGGAACAATAGCAATGCAAAAATCTAACTCGTACATAAGAGCACAACCTGAAGCCAGCAAAGTCTTTTTCTCAGAGAGGATGGATGGGCTATCATACCATTACCTTCTGCAGCAGAACACAGGGCCTACTGCCAAGAAAAATTAACTGCACTTTCCTTGAAGAGTATTTGATTTAGAAAAGCTTGGCTTGGTGTATAGATCAATTAACTCATACTCCTCGAAATACCATTCCTACTGTCAATGGCACAATTATCTCATCGCTTCTGCCTTTTCCAAATATGCCTGATGGTGCTCATTAATCTACCTTGACAGCTATCATTTTGAGTGTGAAAGGGCAGTAGGTATCCTGGTTTTGAAAACAGAAATAGCAAAGATAATTAATTCCCTGTGCAAATGAAGAATTCAGTGCAAGTTTGTTCAAACCTCAGAATCCTCTCTCATAAAGAAACAAAACCCAAACCTACTTGAAGACACAAACATAATATATATACCCACAGGAAGGGTATCTGGCTACTTGAAATAAAGCAAGGAGAAAATAATCTTTGATGCCAGAACTGCATGCTGCTTGGAAAGTTAAGAGATTCCTGAGAAAAAGACTTTGCCTTTGTTCTATGCTAACTGAAACACGAGCATTCTTGGCCTGTTAGATTCAGGGGCAACAGAGGTAGGAGAGTATACATATCCCTGCAGAGAAGATGAAAAACTTTATTTAATGGTTAAGAATAAGAGAGTTTTTATCAAGGATTCACTTAGGACCATTTCGAGGAAAGAGCCCTCAGAGGAAGACTGAGGGAGGAGAAATATCAGGAGAACCAAGCCCAGGTCCAGGTAAGAACCAAGGTGGCCAAACGAGTGGCTGAGATGATTCCTGTGGGTCAAGTCTGGCAGGCTAGACACAGGGAACAGTGGAGGCCATTAATCTGAAGCTCAATCTCAGAAATACTGGACAACTTTTTTAGAAATATGGGGCAGCTGGTAGCAGGAGAAATGGAAGGGAGAAAGGGGAGGCAGAGGGAAAGGACATCCACTGGCAGAAGGAGCTAGAAGTAGGGAGTGAATGTGGTCAGTATGCAAGCAACTGAAAAGGCCTTGGGTTGCAACTCAAGGTATCCAGGACTCCTCTCAGGAAGCAGCAGAGCTTAGTGTGGTTTTCAAAGTGCATTGGCCACAAAGGAAGCAAATCAGCGTGCATGTCCATGTTAGTCTCCTCCACTCCACTATCAACTTGGGGCAAATTACTAACCCTTATGTATCTGTTAAATGAATAGTAACCCACACTTCAGCAGTTCTTTGAAGACTAAGTGAAGTAATCATTTAAAGAATTTTGTGTGAACCCTTGTACGTGTTAATCACATTTTTTTGAATGCTAGCTATACTGCTTATTTTGTTTATTGACATTTAGGGATTTAGGTCTAACTGTCTGTAAATGAAATTTGGGGAACAGTGCCAGAACTTAAAGGTCTTAGAGTATTCATTTTTCACTGAATGAAAAAAAGAATTGAAGAGATTGAAGTGTGAGGCATATCTGTAACAAATGCCTCAGCACACGTCCACTGAGTAACCATGGCCAGTTGGGCTAATATCTATACATAGAAACAGGAAGGGCCCACCAGAGAAGATCCCCAGACCTTTAAGGATCTGGGGTGGTTTGTTCTCTTTAACTTCACTGTGGGTCACTGACAACATTTTGAGTGCTATGCCTCTAACTCCATCTTTTTTCTCAATAAGCCCTGCGGTTTTGTGATGAGATTTTTCTCAACATAATGTTTTTTAGTAGCACATGTGCCATAATAGCAAAACTAATCATACAAAAAATCCTAGATTTATATTAATTTTTACTATTTACTTTGTTATTTTAAAAACAAAAAAAATGAAAAAAAAAATAGAGCAAAAGGACCCAAATAGAACAGCTGGTTCCTGATTTATGAGAAAGAAACGCCCCTTTGTCAGAAGTAACCAAGGTCTGGGCCTTGGACCCTATGCAGACTTCAGCCAGAGCAGCTTCTTTGCAAATAGCCTGCTGCTGTATACATCTATGAAATCTAAGATCTATTAAAGTTTTTCATTTTACTGAGAAAAATCGGAGCTGTGAACAGCGAAGTGAGATTTGTTCCAGGTCACATTCCAGAAACCTTTGTCTTAATCAACCTGAGAGAATCCAGCTTTCAGCCAGAGGGGGCAAAGGAAGGGTGTGTGAGGGGTGAGACTGTACTGCAATTGAGCAATTAAGAGTAAACAGCATGAATTTGGGATTCTACAATTACTCAGGCAAAAACTTGAATCATTGTGTTTCAGTCTTCTTACATTAAATGAGAATACAAACTCATTAAAATAGGTACTCCCAACATATTGAAGAAAAGAACTCATAAGAATTGAAAGAGATGTCATAAATACATTGATACATAGGGCCTGGCACATATTTAAAGTGGGTGCATGCTGCATGCACACGTGTGTACCTGTTATTTATATTTTCCCCACAAATAACTATGTAGTATATTGGCAGAGAGCGCCTCCTGCATGCCCTGTACTTGCTGCTGGAATTAGGAAGCCCTAGGTACCATGATGAGAAGGAGAAGACAAGTGAGTCTTTAGTTCACATGCAGTTCATTCTATTTTTGACATACTGTAAAGATCTTTATATCTGTTAACTCCCACCCATATGCAGAGAGAATCAAAGTATTGTAATTATTTTCCCAACAGCCAGCCTTCTAAGATCCACCCATGTTGTACACAGAAATTTCTAAGTGTACATGGTACAGTACAAGACCAAATGAAATTTGAGCAATGAAGAGAAAAGGCTCCGTAAACACTTGATTGTCATAATCATTGAACTTGCACTGGTATCATTCCATTTTATTCAAAATGGTTTCCCATGTTAGCTGTATAATGTATTTTACATGTCAACAGTGAAAGTGAGATTAGTAGTGTGTGCATTTTGAGAGACTGATAATTTAAACACTTTAACCATCCACAGAAAAAATCTGAAAGTACCACCTCTGTGAGAATTGGTGTTCTCATTTCTTTCCTGTTCAGGCAAGAGGATGACAGCAACAGGAGAGCTGCAATCATGCTCCTTCTTTCAAAGCAGTCTCTATGCTGGGTCACTGTCTGCGGTCAAAATGTGAATGTCTGCTTCCATCTGATTAGTTTTATTCAGAAAGTCAAGGAGAGGGATGAAAGGGGGAAGCCATAGGATAATTGCTTTTATTTCAGCTTATTGCAGAGAGGAAATGTGCAGCAGATAATATAACACATATGCATCAAAAAAGGATCATTCACTTCTGATAAAGTGTGGATGGGGAGGAAATAAAGCTGATGCAAACTCCCCACTGTCTGCAAATCTATTTAAAGTATGAGAGAATTCCAATGGAAGTGGTGCAAATTCATCTTTAATATAGGAATTCTTCTTTAAAATATCTGAAATATCGTGGCTTTTGTAGGATGAAACAGGACCATAGAGACCACCTTTCTTTTATTCGCACCATAAATCAGCATTTTTTGGCTGGTGTACAACAGGCAGTCTGAGAACTGAATTCAGCACTATAGGCCAAATCTTTAAGCTGCCCAGCATGTATTTCTCTGTGATTTTCTTTAAATTTTTTTAATTTTTAATTTTTTTATTTTAGAATCTAATTTTATTATATTCACCCCAACTTCTCCAACAAATATTTAAGATCAGTAACTAAGCATGGAACAATGTCCAAAGCTGTTCCGTTCCCCACCTTAGAGTGTAAGCTGGTTGTACTTATGTTACTGAGTGGTTTAGGCCAGCACCCTTGAGGTCAGAGTCTCTGCTCACCCAGTGTTGCTGGTGGGGCAGCTACCATGCCTGCAGTTGTGGTCCAGAGGATGTCTGTGCTGAATACAGATACTGACACAATGGAAGCTACTTCTCCTTGAATCAAGCAAAAACAAAACCAAAAACGATAGAAAGAAGTCCCAATATCTAATAGCTTGTCAATGTAATTCAGGATATACATTGATGTTATAACCACTTTTAAGGTTGGTTAATGAAGGAACTGGCCTAGGCCCACTGCAGTGTGACTTTGGGATAAGGTCCAAACAGATAAACACTCTTCTTAGATCTGCACAGCAGCAGATACTTTTGCAAGTAACATCAGAATAGTAGAAGTTTATGTGCTATACTTACTTGAATAACTATCTGGGAAAGATTAAGAATAAAATTGCCACCTTTAAAAATGTTTCATCTGTTTTGTGATTTTTTTTAAAGAAGATTCCACATAACTCAAGGAGTAACTTGAGAACTGAAAGATTACATATCTGTACCTTGTACAACGCTTGTAAAACCACAGCTTTCTATAATCTGTGTTTAGGAATGAATGTGAGAAGGCTGCAGTTAGGTAGTGTCCTGTTCCCCTCCAAATTTTTACAGTTCATTAGAAACATATGCTTTTACCTTTCTTTTTTTTTTTTTTTTTTTTGTCACCAAGATATCTGAAGGTGGTTTGAACAGAAGCAGCCAGACATTTTTTCCCCCTCAGAAGTAGATTAAAGAAACAGTATTGAAGAGAACAATTCTGAAAGCAGCCAACTATCAACCGACTTGGGCATTTGAAATAATATTGGAAGTGTTTTCTGGTGTTGTTTATAGTTTCTGACTGAAACAACATGGAGAACTGGTAGTGAACATCCAGTAATAACAATAACAATTTCATAAGGGAACTAGGAAACGGTAGCACAAACATCTGGCACACTATTTACAGTCACCAGCTCTACAAAGAAATCTACAAAGGTCATGGTCATAGATTTTTCAACTCTTGTCAGGACCAGGCACTAAATTTAAACTATCATCTAGGGGGATATTGAAATACCCAAATAATTTTGATTTTATTTTAGATTTATTTACAGTCTACTACCATTTTTTAAATGATCTTTCATGTCTTTGCTATTATAAGGGTGGAAGAACATAAAGCTGAGGAACTTGAGTCTTGTCCTGGCTTTGTCTTTAATTAACTGAGTAACTATGAGATAGGTGATCATGAAAGAGATGGACTCCATAATTTCTAAAGTCCCTTCTAGCTTTATATTTTTTCAAAATATTTACATTGTTTCCATCAAAACTGTTGGTGCTTCAATGATGATTATGTGTCCAAGGAGCTAATGTTATACTTGGTATATTGCATATGTCAAGATCTATAAAAAAGGGAATAAAAGGAAACTGTTAAGTTTTACAATGTGTTTTGTATTTGTACATATATTATGTTTTTTAATTCTAACAACAAGCCTGTAGGATACTTAATGCCTGTAGAAATTGGGATTAGACCAATAAGAAAGATTTCCAAGCCCAACTGGTCAGTAAGTGGCAAAGGCAGGAATTAAATTAAGGCTTGAATTGCACCCAAGTCCACAGGCCTTTCCTCAACACCCTGCTCCCTCTATGCATTAACATTCTCTTGAAAATGTGGAAATGGGGGAAATATTTTCCACATTTCACTTTATGAAAAAGGAGAATATCAAGAATGAAATTTATCTTAGACACCAAGCACCTTGAAAGCAATTATTTGTATCAATTAGGCCAATAATGATCTGACACATTGAATATTTTCAATAAATGTTAGAATACATGAATTGCCTTTTAATAAGTACATGATATATGAATGACTTAAAATTTATTTAAAGGTACATAAGTTTTTCAAAGACATATTTGATTTTCATTCCTGGAAAAACGATACCATTTGATTATTTGATTGTTATTGCTGATAATACATTTTTCAAAGTTTATATCTCAGCCCCCAAAAATAATTTTATGACATTTTAAAAATGAAAGTTCCAAGAGTTGCACTTTCTAACATTTAAGTTGCACAATTTTAATGGAATATTTACATTCAAATTAGATATACCAGAAGTCATAGATGTAATTAAAATATATACAATCTTGCTAAGTTGAAATGATTTATATGTATGTATCTCAAACAAATTCCTAGCAGCCAGGAAACAGTACTTTCATGGGAAATCTTTAAAATAACTGATAACTTAATTCCAACTTCATATCTCTAAATGAACTATTGAAATATTTAACAAATATGCATCAATAATTTGCTGTAAGCATTTAAAAGTCCAATTTTTCTTCGTTAATATCTTTTATCTTTTTTATCTTGAATGAAACATTTTAAATTGATTTAGAAGATAGATTACTAATCTCAGTTTTATAGTAGTTGTTTTTCATTATTTGTATAAAAGTTATGAAATCATATAAACAAAATTAATTTTAATCCACTTCTATGAAAACTATTCTCAAATATTAGTCTGCGAGCCACTTTAATATCATGTTACAAAATCAAACAACCTTTTACAAAAAGTTGTTGCCACACAAATTTCGCCACATGGTAGAATTCTTCACATTCTAAATCCACTTTGCAGAATACCTTACTCGTTTTCTATTGTTTTTATTTACCTAATTCAGAGTCAGATTACCCTCATAGCATTGTTTCTGTCCAAGTGAAAAGTATATTATAGGCTTGCCCTAAATTTCTGATAAATAACAATAAAGAACTTAGAGGATATCTCAGAAAATATGGCATATTA
This sequence comes from Homo sapiens, assembly GCF_000001405.40. NCBI lineage: Eukaryota > Metazoa > Chordata > Mammalia > Primates > Hominidae > Homo > Homo sapiens. Next base: position 92,916,268 of record NC_000013.11, read on the forward strand.
AACATATTTAAGACACACACATACACACAGAGCACACATGCTTACCAGCAAGGAGATATGTTTAAAGATGTAGCCATACAAGGATATATGAAGTGGGAGAGGGGATGATAGCCACAAAATTTTGAGAGGTGGAAAGCAGAAAAACAAATAGTAATGGATCAGCAGACACAAATAATTTGAAACTCAAGCAAAAAGTGAAAAAAGCCAAGAAGCAACCTACCTGACAATGCACAACCCCCCAGACATAGTACTACCTTGTACCTCTGGAAGTGGATATGAAAAAATCAGAACAAAATGTTGAAATGTAATTACACTGCTCAAACCAAACTGCTGAAAAGTAGTTAAAACATCCAGTTCCCAGCCGATCGTGGTGGCTCACGCCTGTGATCTCAGCACTTTGGGAGGCAGAGGCGGGCGGATCACGAGGTCAGGAGATTGAGACCATCCTGGGGAACATGGTGAAACCCCGTCTCTACTAAAAATACAAAAAATTAGGGGGTATGGTGGCAGGCGCCTGTAGTCCCAGCTACTCAGGAGGCTGAAGGAGGAGAATGGCATGAACCTGGGAGGAGGAGCTTGCAGTGAGCCAAGATCGCACCACTGCAGTCCAGCCTGGGCGACAGAGCGAGACTCCGTCTCAAAAAAAAAAAAAAAAAAAAAAAAAAATCCAGTTCTCAAACCCCCACCAATCCCAGATCCTAGCAGAAGACAAGAGATGTGTTCTCTGCAGTGGGTAAAACAGAGGTCCCTAGGTGACAAACACAGATGCATTTAGAGTATAATTGGCCTGGAAACATAAGTAAAAGTTTACATGATGAGTTTTGTGAAACCCCAGCCTTCTTCTTCACTTAGCTCCCTGATTTCTGGCAGCCAAGGCTGTATTATCAAGGCAAGAGATTAGAAAAATCTTCTCAGGGATCTGATCTGCCCAAGTAGGAATGCCTGTATATACTGCCACAACCAGATCATCCTACAGTAAACCCCACCATGGACAGGATCCACCAACACACTCAGAGTTTGCACTCCTAAATAGAAGCAAACACGCAAATGTAGAAGATATCTCCAGAGAGTTTCTAAAATAAAAGACAGGTGAAAACTAACATGAAAAAAACTTGGACGGGACAGAGACTAAGACATCTTTTAAAGGGCATAAACTTTTTTATTAATATATTCAGAGAGATGTGAGAAGATATGAAAATAAAACCATATACAATAAAAAGGAATAATCAGAGAGCTAAATAAAGTCTTCAAGAATTAAAAATAAACTCCACAGAAGGATCTGAAGACACAGTTAGGAAATCTTCCAGAAAAATGTAAATTATGAAAAGATGAAATGTAGAGAAAAACAGATAAGAAAATCTATGTTCAAACCAGATTTGATATGGAAGAGAGAGAATAAAAACATAATTCAAGAAAAATTATCAAAATTAAAAGACATGAGTTTCAAAAGTGAAAGCAGGCCAACAAGTGTTCAGAATCATGAGAAGATAGACCCATATCAAAGCATATTCTTGTGAAAGTTCAGATAAAGAAAAAGCCCCATAAGCTTCCAGAAGAAAATACAGAAAATAAAATCAGATCGTATGTGAATGAACGATCAAGTATTAAAAGGTCTCTGAATTTCTCAACACCAGCACCGAAAGCTACAAGAGAATGAAACAGTAGCTAAAATATTATAATAAAATAATTTCCAAATTAAAATTACTTCCAAAAATGTAGTAATCAGGTGTGAAAGTAAACTTACCGTTATCTGTTCTTTTTTTTTTCCTGAATGTATGTTCTCAAAAAGTTTACCAACAATGCAGTCTTTCTAAAGAAGCTATTAGAGGAGGAAGGCCAAAATAAACAAGGAAAGAAGTTTCAAAGGGAGAAGCACATGGGATACAGAAAACACGGGTTCTCACCTAAGAAAGAATGCAGAGGAACCCCTCAGTGAATGGGGAAAGGGTCTCAGAATGTTGGCTTCCATTGGTTCTCATTGAAGTGAAATATCTTGGGGCAACTGTTTTTAAGGAGAGATACTGATAAAACAAATGCTGCATGAGCTTTGAGAATATTAAGATAACATTTAGAATTAGGAGGAGGTAACAATTTGAGGATGAATTAATTTTAAGTTCACAGAAAACTAATATAACTTTTCTAAACCTATACCATTATTTACCCCATAGGAAGTAAAATATGCACAAAACAAAGACAAGAAGATACACTGCTTGGCTGAACTGTAAATAATATTTGCCTAACCAAAATCATACAACAGGGTTGGAAGAAGGAGAGATGGGATATGTGTGAGTGGTTGATCTGTATCATCTTTCATAGTAGAAGGTTAGTACATAATACTTAAAACTGAGAAAGCAAAGAATAGAACAAAAAGCATATTATTTAAATATATGGAGATAATAATAAAGCTAATGGGTTTTGTTTTTTTTTCATTTTGAGATGGACTCTCACTCTGTCACCGAGGCTGGAGTACAGTGGCACTGTGTTGGCTCAATGCAACCTCCATCTCCTGGCTTCAAGCAATTCTCCTGCCTCAGCATCCCGAGTAGCTGGGATTACAGGTGCTCACCACCACGCCCTGCTAATTTTTATATCTTTAGTAGAGATGGGGTTTCACTATGTTGGCCAAGCTGTTCTCGAACTCCTGACCTCAGGTGATCCACTCGCCTCAGCCTTCCAAAGTGCTGGGATTACAGGCGTGAGCCACCGTGCCTGGCCACTAATGGGTTTCTTAATAGTTGAAAAAACATTGTTTGCCTATCAGGAGCAGGAAAGTTGGGGTAAGAGCAGAACAAAGGTGTTTAGAAGTGCATCTGTAACTCTGACAAAAATAAAAACTAAATTCAACAAAACAATTACTTTGGCTGTAATGACAAATAAGATAAAATCATTCTAATGGTCACATACGTATATAATTCTCTAAAGTGTACTTCTTCCATATCACATTTATGGAATTATTGCAGTAGACTCAATGCTCATAAGAAGACAGCTAAATACTTCCTCTCCCATTGATAATATGTGACCTCAGAATAGTGACTTAACCATTTAGGAATCCATATTCCACCAACCGAAAAATAGTATAGTCATTAATTGATATCTAAAGACTTCTGCTAGAAAATAAACGTTGTCCCATAATAACACTGATTTTGTATATCCAGTGTTTTTGTTGAAGGATTGTTTTTATCACCTACATTAATTGTCCTCCGTCCCTCTGTCCTGGCCTCTCTATTTACATTATTATGCTTGGTTGTTACTCCTACCAAATGAGCCAAGTGGGAGGGAAGTAGACCAGCATCAATACTGAGCCAGAAAACAAGGCTAATACATTGTGCCTTCATGTAAGTCACCAAAAACTCTATTGAGAAGCAATACAGTAGCACA